>NC_000002.12:20388543-20540058 GCF_000001405.40 Homo sapiens
TGGGAACTACAGGCAGGGGCACTGGCTCCTTCAGTTCACAGGGCGAGAGCCCTCTCTCTCTGAACCCACACGCTGGGCTCAGAGCTGGACTTGGGAAAGAATAGGGGGTCCAAAAATGAGGCAGACAAGACCCCATGCTTAGAGCAGGGACTGGCAAACCTTTGCGATAAAGGATCCAGAGAGTTAATGTTTTTGGCTTTGTGAGTGTTCTGTCAAAGGGCTGTATATCCAAAGTGGCCCCCAAACGCCAAAAGAGCTGAGAAACCAAAGAATGAGACAGACAAATTCAGTTTGTCAATAGAAGGTCAGGGAACTTACAGACAGAAGCAGGGTCTTGGGTGGCTGCAAGACAGGTAGATCTCTGTACTGCACCCCCAACCCAGACCCGGGGCTTATATGTTGGGGAAAAAGTATATGTGCTTTGGAAGGCACGTGTACATTGCTATGGGTGTCACAGCCTATGCTATATGGACCAACAGCAAAGGTTGTTTTCAGGGAAGGTGACACTTACAGTGAATAGGTGTTCCCACACAAAGAATAAAACATCAACTAGATGATGGAGGCATTCCCAGACGTGGGGCTAGTCAGAAGTCACCTGGGGGATTAGCATTTATTTTTATTTTATTATTTGTTTTGTTTTGTTTTTTTGAGACACAGTCTTGCTCTGTCACCCAGGCTGGAGTGCAGTGGTGCGATCTCAGCTCACTGCAGCCTCTGCCTCCTGGGTTCAAGCAATCCTCCAACCTCAACCTCTTGAGTAGCTGGGACTACAGTCACCTGCCACCACGTCCGGATCCTTTTTGTATTTTTAGTAGATGCTTGCCACCACCCCTGGCTAAATTTTGTATTTTTAGTAAAGATGGGGTTTCACCATGTTGGCCAGACTGGTCTCAAACTCCTGACCTCAAATGATCCACTCACCTCAGCCTCCCAAAGTGCTGGGATTACAGGCGTGAGCCACCATGCCCAGCTGGGGATTAGCATTTAAAATAAACTCACTCTTGTCCCCACAGTGGGCCAAATGGTCTCTGTCCCAACTACTCGACTCTGTTGTAGCATGAAAATGGCCAAGATAAATACATGAGTGGGGCTGTGTTCCAATAAAACTTTATTTACAAAACTAGGTGGTGGGCTGAAGTTGGTCTAGGGCTGTACTTTGTTGATCCCTGCTGCGTATAGAGCATTTTTGACAAATGTGAGTTTCAAAGCAAATATAAAGCCGTTCCTCTGAATGCTGGGCATTTGGGATTCTGGCTCCAACTTTGCCCTCTAAAGTACATGTTAGGTGTGTCTTTGTTTATTTCATACTTTTTTTCAAGAAACTGCAAAACCTTTGCCAAACTGGGGCCAGCCTTATGCCCAGACTCCCTGGGATTTGAGTGAAGAATGAAGGTACCTGAGCATGAAATCAGAAAATCTGTTCTTGTTGTCTTGGCCAGAAACCTGTCTGTGGCGCAACTCAGGGCTCTGCAATCATCACAGCTCTTTAGCTGGTGGGAGAGCTCCCTAAGATGAGGTCAAGTTCAGAGGCAAACCCAGCCTCTGCCCTCTGACTGTGGGGCTGGGCCATGCGTGGTGGGTGGTCATCTTGCTGAAGCCATCCCACCCCGAGACCTGTGGGAGGGAACACTCCACTCTACTGGCCCACTTTGGCTACTGGCAGCCTCATCTGAGTACCTCATTTGGGAGAGCCATAATTCCAGCACTGGAGTGATGAGGAATTTGCTGCTATGCCTATGTGGTGGTTGGGGCAATTTCCTTTGCCCTCAGAATCCCCGATTTTAGACAGAGTCTTGCTCTGTCACCCAGGCTGGAGTGCAGTGGAGTGCAGGCTCCTTGCAACCTCTGCCTCTCCAGTTCAAGCGATTCTCCTGCCTCAGCCTCCCAAGTAGCTGGGAGTACAGGCATGCCCCACCACGCCAGGCTAATTTTTGTAAGAATCCCCGATTTTAGGGCTGGGAGGGACCTGAGAGGACCCACCTCATACGAGAATCCACTGGTGTGCAATTGGCTTCACTTTCACAAATTTTCCACGTAGCCCACCAGGCAGTGTGACTGGCAAGGCAGAGCAGCCCAACGAGGCTTCCTGGGAGAGGAGTCTGGAGCCAAGCCTCCAAGGGCAGATGCAGCCTGTGGCAACACAGCTATGTGGAGCAGCATGAACAATCCAGACACCAAAAAGGGCAAGGCATGTCTGCGCCACAAGGAAATATGTCAGTGAGTGAGAGCAGCCTCATCGCTGGGGCTGATCACAGGGACCTGAAGTGAGTCCTGAGATTACTATTCAATGCCACCATGACTTCCCTTCCATACCCAGCTCTGAAGTTTTCTGTGGGCAGATCTCAGCCCTGGCAGAAAGATCTGAACATTGCTTTTTATATCATGCTGAAGAGGGGAAGGCATGCTAATCAGAAGCAGATGCTTAAATGTGGGGAGGGCCTTATCTGGTGGGTGAGAGGAGGCCTGTTTGGGACCTTGGTGCAGCCCCCATGGGGGTTGCTCTGTGCCAAGCTCTGCAAGATATCTACCTGCATCTTGGTAAAGAATCGCCTCTTCTCTGTTTCGCTGAAGGTTATGTTTTAAATTTCAATAACAGCAACGCTGTGTTCGAATGCACAGTTTGGTACCGTGCCCAAACAGCAGCGAAGGAAAAAGCCTTGCAAATGCGTGCCTGGCTTTCCCAAGGTAAGCCAAGGGACACCCAGATCATGCCCTCCAGGAGACCAGTGGTGCCTCAGACATGGCTTCTTCTGAAGTGTCTTCCTACTTGGGGGTCTAAAGATGCCAATCTGCGACTGGTTTGAGCCTGGAAAATCTTGGAGTTCTGTGGGTCCAGAAGGAGTCCTCTTCTGTCCATTTGCTCTGGGCTTCAGAATGGTGTTCAGGGCTGGGGGTGCAGAGTGGGAGGAACTGTCTACACTCAGGTTTAATGCACTTTTCATTCATTCCTCAGAATGAACTGAATGTCTGTTCAATACATTTATTGGGGGACTCTAGGTCAGCTGGGGGCTGAGGCTGCAACAGTGTGAACCGATCCAAGTGCCCAAAACCTCTGTGTCTAGACCCTTCCCTGCCTATCTTCTCCATTGGGCCTCACCCATGCAGAGGCCGAGCAGTGAGGAGTCCCATTTTACAGACCCCCAGTGATTCCCCATTTCCAGTTGCAGAAGCCAAGGGTTGCAGTAGAAGCCCCAGTGTAGTGGCCCTCAGTCTGGGCCAGAGTCCTGAGAACCCAGGAACTAGGCAGGGTTGGGGCAGTGGGTCCTGAAATACTCCAGCTGGATTGATCAGGGAGTAGCAGACTAATGAGATCTTTAACTTCTCTGCCTCCTGTCTGTGGTTGCTCCTGCTGAGAATTCTTCTCCTTCCTAGCTACCTGAATCTCTTCCATTCTTCAAGGAGAGCCCAGCTTCTGGTCCTCCTCATTCCAGAAGCTTTGGTGATCACTCCACTCTTCTCCCAGCCCTGCCAGCCCCCTTGTACCTCTGCTGCTCTGATTCTAATTAATGACCCTCACAGCCTCCCAGCCCATCTGCCTGAATGAGTGTCTAGGCTGTGGGGGGGGGGGGGGGGCGTGAGCTCAGGAGGAGGGGCACCTGGCCTGACTCATCCCCCAGGGCGTGGCACAACTCCTTGCTGCTGGGATGAGCTCACCACTGTGCTGTGGAGCTTGTCCTGGTCACCTGAGCAATGCCTCCCTGGCTAACATGTGCCCCCTTCTCCCTGACCCTGCAGCAGAACCTGGTGTGGGCACTAGTGAGGGCCATCCCCCCTGGTCACCAGCCTGTATATCCTGGTCAACCTCAGTTACCTGCTAGTGCTATCACCCAGTGAGACCCTCTCTGCTGACGCTATGGCTGTGAACTGGGGGTGACTGCATCACACGGTGTGTCCTTTGGACACCGAGCAGACTTTCCAGGCTGGGGAAGGAAAGTGCTCCCTGTGTATTTAAACTTGTCTTTGAATGTGTCGCTTGCTCCATTTCTGAGTGGGGCCTTGTGGCTTCTTCCAGGGTGCTGTTGGAATTCCTTCCCCTGATCCCTTGATTTCCTTGGAACCAGGTTCTGGGCCTGGCTGGTGCCCTTGGCTGTTGCAGTCTCAACATTTGGTTCCATCAGTGAGATGTTCTTCAACGGAAATCGTTTGTGCTATGTGGCTGCAAGAGAGGGCCACGTGGTGAGAGATGGGGCCTGGGCCTGGGCAAGAAGGTGGGGCTGCAGGAGGGGTGCCACAGGGCCAGCCAGCTACGCTTTCTCCTGCCTGAAGCTTAGCATTTGGCCCAAAACAGGACTTTCCCTGTAAGATATAGCCCTCTTTTCTTCTGAGGATGGGACTTAGGCACTCCATACTTCTCAGCTTTAACTCTAATCCCTTTACTTCTGGGTTTTTGGGAGATCACAGTACGGAGTCACACTAGGTCGGGGACTGGCAATAAAGATATTTGTGCTCATTGGTAGTGCGGGGGCCATGGGGAGGAGAGACAATATTAGTGCGGTTGTGTACCCTCTGGGTCTTCTCCCCCTGGGGACTCTGCGCTGGTGTTACCTTTGACTGCAATACTGCTGAATAATAGACCCCAACTCTCAGTGGCTTGCAACAACATTTGACTGTTGTTCCCAAGTCAAGGGGTTGGCTGTGGCTTGGCTTCAGGCTGTGGCTTGCTTGGGGTCTCACCTTGGTCTGAGTCTATCCTTATCTCAGGTACTAAGGTCAAGGCAGTAGCCACTACTGGGGGCATGATATTGCCTATAGCAGGTAACAGAGGTTCAAGAGACCAAGCCAAACTACATAAGCATATTTAGAGAATCTACTTGTCACTCCAGCTCACATTTTATTGGTCCAAGCAAGTAACACAGCCAGACTCCACGTCAATGAATGGGGGACTGATATTCCTCCCACAAAGGTGGGGAGAGGAAGGCTGAATATTTGATGAATAATAATACAGTCTTGGCTGGGCGCGGTGGCTCACGCCTGTAATCTCAACACTTTGGGAGGCTGAGGCGGGCAGATCACCTGAGGTCAGGAGTTCAAGACCAGCCTGGCCAATATGGTGAAACTCCATCTCTACTAAAAATACAAAAATTAGCTGGGCGTAGTGGCGGGCACCTGTAATCCCAGCTACTCAGGAGGCTGAGGCAGGAGAATCACTTGAACCCAGGAGGTGGAGGTTGCGGCGAGCCGAGATCGAGCCACTGCACTCCAGAGTAGGCGACAGAGCAAGAATCCATCTCAAAAAACAAACAAACAAAAAAAACCAAAAAAACAGTCTCCACAGTAATCCCATATTCCTCTCCATGGTCCATCCATACCTGCTGTGTCCTCTCCTCCCTGGACCTGGTTACCCCAGGTGAACCACAGAGACCTACCTCTGGAAGCTGTGGTGACTAGTTACTGTTAGGTTGGTCATTCTGGTGTCCAGAGTGTGTTCGACCGGGGAAGAGATGCTCCCTGTGGCTCCCCTGGGGCCTGCTTGACACTCAGCTCTGCTTTCCAGCCCTGAATTCTGTCAATGGCTCTTATTTATCGTCCCATACCAACTCCAGCCCTGATGTTCACCATGGCTGTGGCTTTGGTCCTGGGCATTCCAGGAAGTTTCAGTACCACCGTGAACTTCATAAGGCAAGTGAGACGGTCCTCCCACATCAGGTATCTGAAGCCCCCGTGTGTACACATTCACACACATGCATGTGTACATAAACATGCATGCACACCCCTGGACCCCTCCCACTATATACACACATATGTGTAGTACATGTAGTCATAAATGTGCACACACCTCTGGAGACCCCTGTGTGTACACACTCACACTCACATGTGCATATAGATGTAGACACACCCATGCACACTTCTGCAAGCCCAGGCTCAGGTCCCCTGAACACGCATCTACATTTCAGCCATGCTTTCCCAGTCGTGTTTCCAAAATTAAACATGGCTCTCTCCTCTCTTGCCCTGTTTCTAAAAATTCAGTAAGACATATGTTTACCAAGAGACAGACACATTAAAGGCTTCTGCTGTCTTTGTCAGTTTTCCTTTTTTCTTTTTCCTTTATTCTGTTGCTAAGATGATGTTAAGGAATATTCAGGCATTATTCTCGCTACCTGTGTAGCCCCCGGCTGTGGTACGATTTTTCCTTTATGGTCGAGGTCTGCATTCTGAACTCTGGCCTAACATGATCTCTACTGAACGCAGGTCAGAGCCACAACCAATCTGCACAGGCACAATAATCATGTTCTGACCCCATTTATTACTTTCTCAAGGGCAGAAATTGATGGGCTGTTATGATATGCAGTTTATGATCTCATTTGAAGCAGGGTCAATGGGCAGCAGGCAAGCGTAATGTCTGGGTGCAGAGGGAGTTCTCAGAAGTTTTTAAAATTATTATTTATATACTTATTTTAAATAAATAGAGATGAGGTCTTGCTATGTTGCCCCGGCTGGTCTTGAACTCCTGGACTCAAGTGATCCTCCCACCTCTGCCTTCCAAAGTGCTGGATTACAGATGTGAGCTGCCGCACCCGGCCCAGAAGAAGTTTTTAAGCATTGCCCGTTTTCTTTCTCTGTTGTCATAGGCTAATTAATTTGGAACAGCTTGTACTGTGCTTGATGCGACTCTCTTAAGAACAGTAAGTAACATACAAGGGTTTTTTCTTTTATTTTTTTCCTATAAGAAAGAATAAAATCAGTATACGGTAAGAACAAAATCAAATCCATAGTGAGCTTAGGGGGACTTTAGGCTGAGACTGGGGAATGTGGTTGAGGATGTCTCTGCAGAATGAGGATTCCTGAATGGTCCATCCCAAGTAGGACCCAACATCTCCCAGCACTGACCATCTCCAAAGATAACCTGGTCTGGACCCTGCTTCCAGGGTTAGGAGTTTTTATCAGACCTACATCAGCCACCCAACTACAAGCACTGGGGAGGGCACAGCAAAGGGTTTGTCTGGGTGCTCAGTGGCCCAGCTCACCATGCCACCAGCCCAGAGGGAAATGATAGGTGGTTGTTGGTGGGGGTGGGGGTTCTGCTGTGGGTGTGCTGTCCCTGAAGACAGCACAGGCTTCCTTGAGATTCTACCAAGATTTTCTTTTTTCTTTCTTTAAGAGAGGATCGCTAGGTGCGGTGGCTCACACCTGTAATCCCAGCACTTTGGGAGGCCGAGGTGGGTAGATCAGTTGAGGTCAGGAGTTTGTGACCAACCTGGCCAACATGGTGAAACCCCGTCTTTACTAAAAATACAAAATTTAGCCAGGAGTGGTGGCACATGCCTGTGCCCCCACCTTACAAGGTAAGGTCTTACGAAGTCTGCAAGGTAGACTTTGAGACAGACTTTGGGCTTTTCCAACCCTAGGCTCCTGCGTGAGGCAGGTCTTTGGGCCACAGCCTCATTCAGAGCCAAGAAGAAGACTGTACGGGGCTGCCACGATCATTATATTTGGTAGAGAATTTCCATATTTTTCTGGGGCTGGAGGGACAGTTGAATCACAAGGCATTAACTTTGCTTGCCAGGGACTCATTTCTCCTCTTGAGGACTCGGAGGGAAAACAGATGCAGAGAGAATCCGTGCACACACTTGGGTTCACACAGCACAGAGAGCAGAATGCTGGCTCCCAAGGCTCTGCTCCCTGGAGAGCCTCCAGTAGCCCAGCAGGTGGCTCTCCTGGTCCAGGCGAAGTTTAATGGCAGGGAGTGGAAGAGAGGAGCTGCCTGCAGGTGTAAACAACAGGAAGGCAGGCAGGAGGGACAGAGCCTGTGGACCACACACTACCTCCTGTTCCCCCTTCATCATCTGGGTCTCAGGGGCCAAATCCCCACCGTGCCCACTGCAGGTTCCCACCTTCATTCCCGCCATCACACTCCTGGCTTATCTCTACTGGTGCTGGCGCCCGTCATCAACCATCCCCAGACAGAGTTCCTAAACATCTTCCTCTTCCTGCTCAGTGGCTTCCTGGTGTACTTCCCACTTGTCCACTTCCAGTGCCAGCCCAGGTGTTTGCAGCTGGCCGCTCTACATCTCTAGATGCTCCTGGAAGTTGCTCCAGACACTAAAATATTGGCTGAAGGACTGGACAGGTTCTGCACTGCCCTCTTTGCTGCAAACACCTCTATCCCCACACAAGTGGCCTTGCCCAGTTCTCTGTAGGTTGACTTAGTGCTGTAACTCTATGATAGCTCAGCTGTCATAGAGTTCTGGGTTACCCTCTCCTGAGAGTGCTCCCCTTCTCTAAGAACTGTTCCTTCAACGTTCGACGCAGCCAAGCTGGTGTTACATGATGGCCTCTCTGGGTCATAGTTCTTTCATAGTTTTTTTGTAGCCTATGTGGGCAGCATGGAATAAGTTTCCTTCTTTGGGATTTTGGTATGAGAATTCGGTGGTCCAATTCAGGCTCAGATGGTTGCTCAAGCTAAAGCATTGCCAATCTTGGGCTCTACGTGGGGCCATCTTTTATCATGTGGGCAGAGAAGTAGAGAAAGCCATTGTGGTGGGGAGAAAGAAGATCCTTAATGACATATGCTGAGAAATTCTGTGACCCCAAGGATCTGGGAAGGAAATCTGAGAAAGTAGTGGCTTTGATTTCTGATTGTTTTCCAGTTCTGGTCCCTGTCTTTCTGTGGTCTAACTGCCATCTAATGATCTTTCTTGGTTTTTGATTGTCTGAGACAATGTGATACCTTGAAATAAATTTCCCATCATAACTCAGGTGAATTAGAACAGGCTCCTATTTCTTGCAACTAGAAAAATTTCGGCTCTGATAAGCCTTCTTGTTCAGGAAGAAACAATAGTAGAAGTCCTCTGCTTATCCTTCTGGAATACATTCCAAGACCTCCAGTGGATGCCTGAAACCATGGGTAGTACCAAACCCTATACATACTATGTTTTTTAGACCTGATAATCAAGACGGCTGCTAAGTGACTCCCACATGGGGAGCATATACAAGATGGATATGCTGGACAAAGGGATGGTTCATGTCCTTGGCGGTATGAGGTGGGATGGTGAGAGATTTTGTCATGCTATCAGATCAGTGTGCAATTTAGAACTTATACATTGTTTATTCCTGGAATGTTCCATTTAATATTTTCAGACCTCTGTTGATCACAGCTAACTGAAACACTGGATAAGAGGAGACTATGGTACTTTAGTTTCTGTTTGAAGCTACCTATTGGTTTGAATAGGGAAAGAAGCAAGAGACATATTCCTGGGAAGGAGAGGTTATCAGATTTGAGTAGAAGAGAGGACAGTCACATTTCTAGAAGAAAGGATGAAAAGTTGGAGCTAACCCCAGAAGGCTAACCTGGTTATGGGACTAAATAGAGACAAAGGAGCAGAGAAATCTGGCTGCCCGGGGGAGAAAATGGCAGAGGATGGAAAGACACAGGGCCTAGAAAGAGGCTGGGAGTGCAGCTCCTGGGTGCACCCCTGGATGTGACTCAGAGAGGGGCTGATGACGCTGTTCAGTGTCTGCACTCCTGAAAACTGGGCCTGGGCAGCCTGCACGTGGCTTTGCTCATTGACGTGGAAAAGGTGGCAACACCTGCTGTATGAACCTTTGTCTTGGCAGGTTTTTTGCTTACATCAATGAATCCTCCATTTCTTTGACACAAACTGAATGTCCAACAGTTCAATTCAATTCTAGACTTCACAGGTTTAGGGACTGAGTCCCACAAGACTGCCCTCACTTCAGACACTAGTTGCAAGTATTGGGTGCCCGGGTCACCCACATTTCTGTCTGACTTGGCTACAAAGTTGGGGAATTCCACAGGCTCCCTCTTCAGGCTTGAAAATTTGCAAGAATGTCTCAGATGTCTCAGGAATCCATTTAACTCACTATTACCAGTTAATTTCAAAAGACACCACTCATGTACAGCCAGATGGAAGAGCTGAACCAGGCAGAGCATGAGGGAAGGGCACAGAGCTTCCACGCCCTCTTCCCAGTAGCCACGCTTTCGGCACCTCAAGGCGTTCACCAATCTGGAAGTTCCCCAAATCCTGTCATATAGGGACTTTATGGAGGTTTCTTTACATAGACATGATTGACTAAATCATTGGCCATTGGCTGGACTCACTCTCCAGCGCCTATCTCCTCCCCAGAGGTTTAGGGATGAGGCTGAAAGTCCCAACCCTCTAATCATGCCTTGGGCTTTCTGGCAAGGAGACCCCATCCTGAAACTATCCAGGGGCCCTCAGCCACCTGTCATCTCATTAGCATACAAAAGTCACTCTTATCATTATGGAGATTCCAAGGGTTTTAGGAACAGTGTATGAAGAACTAGGGACATGAGCCAAATACTTATTTTTTGTTATATCACGCTCCTTAATTATAAACACTTTATTAGCCCTGTTCCCCAGAACACAGCTGCCAGTGAAATTCTAGGAAAATCTTCACATTCCTTCTCCTCCCAGCAGGACAGCCTGCCTTAGAGAAAAAGATTCCAAGAGAGACTGGTCCTATCCAGCTCCTCTCAAAAGAGGCCATGAATTTGGCTGAACATTCGCCAGGAAAGGCTCTGGGGTCTCCAGCAGGAATTAGTCCTTTCCTCCTTTGGCCTCCCACCAAACTGCTCCTGTGCCATTTGTGAGCTTTTCTGGGTCCTGGATGCTGGGTTTGGCTGTGTGTCATATTGCCCTCTGGGCTGAAGGTTTGGTGAGCGTGGGGGCTCGTTCTCAGATTCGTCTGTACATCCCTCAGTTCCCATCATGGTTCTGGGCTCCTTGCTGATCAATGATACTTGGTGAATCAAAATAATGAAATATTTGTTGAATGATGAGAGAATGACTCACGTTTCTATTTTTAAGACTTGCACTCGTGCTCATCTTCCCCATGGCCCTGGCTCCAAGGCCCTGTCCTGAGAAGGTTCTCTAAGGAGGAAGGACATCTTCCATGTCTTGAGCAGTCCCCTCTAGCTGTCATGGACACATGCCTGGAGGTGGGAGGCAGAGTGGGTGGCTGAACCAGGTACAGGCTAGGTTCTGGGTCATGCACCTGTTAGACCGAGTCTCACTTCATTATTCAATCTTCCCATCCTTCCCCAGACCAACTGCCTTTCGGCTCCCACTCCTCTTGTGTGGAAGAAAGCACCAAGGTGGAAGAAAGTACCCAAAGCAGGACTCTGTGATGGCAGCTTCTTACCCCCTCAAATTACCTGGCACACCTTCCCCGAGCTCCTCTCCTGCCCCCAGCCCTTTCATGGGCCCCGGGATGGTAGTGGGGGGTGATCCCAGATGGGCATCTGAGACTTCTCAGGGAATTAGTATGTTGGACTTTCTTGCCCCAAGTGAAGATCATGGTCTCCATAGTTATTTCTCTGCTATAAGGTCAGGGATGACATAGTAAATGTCACGGTTCTGGCCTTTGGCCTGGAAAAAAATGTTCTGAATCTTGGGGACAAGATTGGTGGATCACCTGAAGTCAGGAGTTTGAGACCAGTCTGGCCAGCATGGCGAAAACCCCATCTCTACTAAAAATACAAAAGTTAGCCAGGCATGGTGACACACACACCTATAATCCCAGCTACTTGAGAGGCTCAGGCAGGAGAATCATTTGAACCCGGGAGGTGGAGGTTTTAGTGAATCAAGATCACGCCACTGCACTCCAGCCTGGGCGACAGAGTGAGACTCTGTCTTCAAAAAAACGAATGACATGGAGTAGAGCCAGCCCGCAGCTAACCCTTTATGGGCATATAGTGTGAGCAAAATTAACCTTTTGTGATATCGTGATGTAATAAGAAATATGTATTTGGTGTTAGTCCCTAGTTCCCTTGTAACTTCCTGAGTGGTACTGGTAGGAGGAGCATCTTTTTCTATTCATAATAAGCCCTTTCAACCATGAGCTTATGCTACTGGGGTGACTCTAAGAGGAGAGGGGCTGGTTGCCAGAGGTAGCAACCATGTGATTAGAGGGGTGGAACTTTCCGCTCCAGGCACCCCACCTCCAGGGATAGGAGAGGGGATGGGAATTGAGCCTGATCACCAGTGGCCAGTGATTGACTCAATCATGTTTACATAATGGAAACTCCATAAAAACCCTAAATGAGGGGGTTTGGAGAGCTTCCAGGCATGGAGGTGCTGGGAGGGTGGTGTATCTGGAAAGGGCAGGGAAGCTCCATGCCTCTTTCCCACCTTTCCCTGTGTACCTCTTCATCTGGACTGTTCATTTGTATCTTTTATAATACACTAGTAATCATAAGTTAGGAGCTGGGAGTGGTAGTGCACACCTGTAGTCTCAGCTACTCACGAGGCTGAGGTGGAAGGATCCCTTGAATTCAGGAGTTTGAGACTAGCCTGGGTGACAGAGTGAGACCCTGTCTCTACAAAATTTAAGTAAATAAATAAAAGCACACATAAATAAGGTGTTTTCTTGAGTTCTGTGAGTCATTAAAGCAGATTATCAAACACGAGGAGGTGGCTGTGGAAACCCCTGATTTTTTGCCAAGTTGGTCAGAAGTAGCAGAGGCCCGGGACTTGTGTAACTGAGCATGTAATGTGTGGCGTCTGTGCCCACTGTGTGTGGATAATATCACAATTGAATTGTAGGACATCCAGTTGCTGTCAGGAGAGTTGGAGAATTGCTTGGTGTGGAAAATCCACACATTTGATGTTGTGAGTAGAGATATACAGGGTTTTCTTTTATTTTATTGTTTTAAACCACTGAGAGTTGGAGGGTGTTACTGCAGCATAATCTAGTTAGTTCATCCCAACTGTTCATTTCTCCTCTGTTCAGGAGTCTTAGAAGTGCCTAGAGCTGTTGACCAGCTGGTGGATGTCAGCTGAGGAGTTAGTGATGGAGCCACACTTGATGGAAACTCATCCTCTCCCTGGTCTCCTCCCTCACACTTCATTGATTCCTCATCCATCTTCTCTGCCCTTCATCTGGCACCACTCTGCCTTTTTCTTCCTTTCCACAGGCACAGTCTTACATTACTTCTGGGAGAGGAAGAACTGATTCTACAAATATGCATACAGGAAATTTTCTCTAGTGAGGGATTTTAAATCATTGTTCCTGCTTAGGCATGGGCTGAAGGAGAAAACACTGCCACCCAGCCCTTGGGGCACCATTGAGAGAGGAGGCAAACACACAGAAAAAACAAGCAGATTACTATTTCCATCCAAGTGCTAACCAGGCCCGACTCTGCTTAGTTTCCAAGATCAGACGAGATCGGGCACGTTCAGGGTGGTATGGCCGTAGGCCAGATTATTACTTCGACCTACAACCCTGGTGCCCACAGATAAACACACACAACAGCCCTTTTTAAATAGAAAATGGATGATATTCTGGATTTTTCTTTTTCTTTTCTTTTTTTTTTTTTTTTTTTTGAGATGGAGTCTCGCTCTGTTGCCAGGTTCTGGCGTGCCATGGCACGATCTCGGCTCACTGCAACCTCTGCCTCCCAGGTTCAAGCGATGCCTCTTGCCTCAGCCTCCCGAGTAGCTGGGACTACAGGTGCACACCACCACGCCTGGCTAATTTTTTGTATTTCTGTAGAGACGGGGTTTCACAACGTTGGCCAGGATGGTCTCCGTCTCCTGACCTTGTGATCTGCCTGCCTCGGCCTCCCAAAGTGCTGGGATTACAGGCGTATTCTGGATTTTTCTAAAAATTCCCCAACAATTTATCTGGGGCTGGGTGTGGCGGCTCACACCTATGATCCTAGCACTTTGGGAGGCCAAAGCAGGAGCTTGAGCCCAGGAGTTCAAGACTAGCCTGGGCAACATAGTGGGACCTCTCTACAAAAAAAATTAAAAAATCTATAAAAACAACACAAAACCCACAATTTATCTGGAAGGGCTTTTTATATGATACTTTTTATATTAGCACATACCTTCTTTTTAATGACTATTTAGTATTATTGGCCTATTCTTCAAAAGTATTTGGTTGTTTTCTCTTTATTATAAGCAAAGCTGAAGGGGCCATCTTGGTATAGAGGAAAGGGATGAACAGACCACAGACATCCTCTTTCTTCCCTGAATCATCACTGTTCACCTTGTTTTAAGTTATGGTCTTCCTCCTGAATTCATTTTTCATGATTTTTTTTCCTATAAATTAAATACATGTTTTAGATATAGTGAGGTGTATCTAAGCTATAGTTATTGTGACACATACTGAGGGCTCTATTAACTGTTGATTTGCCTATAGAATAGAGATGCTCTTCAATTATTTTTTTAAATTACGTAAACTCTAAGTTAAAATTTTTGTGAAATGAATCTTCCAGATCGGGTGCGGTGGTTTACGCCTGTAATCCTAGCACTTTGGGAGGCTGAGGTGGGTGAATCACTTGAGGCCAGGAGTTCTAGACTAGCCTGGCTAACATGGTGAAACTGCATCTCTACAAAAAAATACAAAAACTAGCCGGGCGTGGTGGCACCTGTAGTCCCAGCTGCTTGGGAGGCTGAGGCAGGAGAATCACTTGAACCCAGGAGGCGGAGGTTGTAGGGAGCTGTGATCATGCTACTGCACTCCAGCCCGGGTAACAGAGCCAGACTCTATCTCAAAACAAAACAAACAACAACAAAAACACACACACACAAAACAAAGAAAATAAGAGCTTCTAACTTAATTTTTTTTTTCACTGACCCCACAATCTATCATGTAATGAGCAATCGAGTATAAATCATTTGGGAATCACTAAAATAGCTAAATACATTGAAGAAAAAAATAGCATTTAAAACAACATTTTTATTTTAGGTTTAGGGGTACATTTGAGGGTTTGTTACATAGACAGACACCTGTCACGGGGCTTTGGTGTACATATTATTACATCATCCAGGTATCAAGCTCAGTACCTGATAGTTACCTGTTCTGCTCCTCTCCCTCCTGCCACCCTCCCGCCTTGAGTAAGCCCCAGTATCTGTTGTTTCCTTCTCTGTGTCCATAAGTTCTTATCATTTAGCTCCCTAAAAATAGCATTTTGTAACCTGAATATATTCCCTTAGAAAACATCTTTTTTGGGAATAAAGCTTAGGTTTGTGTACCTATGCTTTTTATTTTAGAATAAAAAATGTTATACAATTTTTAAAGGTAGAAAATTATGTGATATAATCTTTTTTGAAGGTCAGAATTTTATTGCTTTGGTCCAAAGGCTTCTTCAGGCCCTTCAGAAAGAAGGCCATACGATGTTATCTTTAAAACATAACACAAAAGCAAAACAGTAAACGATGTGAATTTCTGACTGTAATAGTAAACAGCATCTTTACAGCTAGTTTCCCATTAGAGGTGATCAGAACAGAATATTACCAATGCCAGGTGACTCTGTTTCAGAGATGAAAAGGCAGAGAAACACTTACATCATGAGACAAGAACCAGATGGAAAGAGCTACTTGGCAGGGTTAAAAGAAAAACTTTAGACAAATTAGATTTAACAGAGTTTAACTGAGCAAGAAAAAGAAAAAAAAATGATTCATGAATCTGGCAGTCCTGAGAATCGGAACAGATTCAGAGAGACTTCAGGGCTGCTGTATGGGCAGATAAATTTATGGCAGAAGAAGAAAAGCAAAGGACAGAAAATAGAAGTGAGGTAGAGAAACAGCTGCATTGGTTACAGCACAGTATTCGCCTTATTTGAACATGGTCTGAACAGCTGGCCGCCTGTGATTGACTAATGCATGGCTGTTGTGATTGGTTGAGACTTAGCTATTGTTACAGAAGCTCACCCCTAAATTAGGTTTTCAGTTTGTTTAATACTAAGTTAGTTTGCAGTTCATACATAAGAACTTGAGTGGCTGGGTGCAGTGGCTCACGCCTATAATCCCAGCACTTTGGGAGGCTGAGGCGGGTGGATTATTTGAAGTCAGAAGTTCAAGACCAGCCTGGGCAACATGGTGAAACCCCGTCTCTACTAAAAATACAAAAATTAGCCAGGTGTGGTGGTACACGCCTGTAATCCCAGCTACTCGAGAGGCTGAGGCAGGAGAATTGCTTGAACCTGGAAGGTGGAGGTTGCAGTGAGCCAAGATCGCGCCATTGCACTCTAGCCTGGGTGACTGAGTGAGACTCCATCTCAAAAAAAAAAAAAAAAAAAAGAAAACATTTAAGACTTGAGATGATGCCGTGCCCCAGGGGATATATTAGTCTGTTCTCACACTGCTAAAAGGACATACCCAAGACTGGGTAATTTATAAAGGAAAGAAGTTTAAGGGACTCACAGCTCCACATGGCTGGGGAGGCCTCACAAACATGTAGGAAGATGAAGGAAGAGCAAAGGGACATCTTACATGGTGGTAGGCAAGAAAGCTTGTGAGGGAGAACATGAGACTTGTTCACTATCAATGGAATAGCATGGGAAAAACCTGCCCCTATGATTCAATTACCTTCCGCCAGGTTCCTCTCACAACATGTGGGGATTATAACAACTCAAGGTGAGATTTGGGTGGGAACACAGAGCCAAACCATATCAAGGGACTATTATGACGATCAAGAAAATAATAGGAAAAGACCAGCTGGTTGCCGTGGTATGAGCCTGTAGTCCCAGTTACTTGAGAGGCTGAGGCAGGAGGATCTTTTAAGCCCAGGAGTTTGAATCCAGCCTGGGCAGCATACACAGACACTACCTCTTAAAACAAACAAGCAAACAAACAAACAAGTCCAAAGTGTACTCCTCAACAAGTTCTAAGAAATGAACTCAACGAACCTAACCAAATCAAACAGGTCAAAGTTCAGACAATATAGGCAGTTTAACAATATTTGACTCTAGTTGGGCATAGTCCTTGGTGCAGGATTTGGTGATGATTAAGAACTATAGTTTGCTGTAAAATGGCCTGATTTTAAAAGGCCATTTTTGTTGTTACCTGGTAACACAAGTCATAATAACCTGGAGACCTAAGGGAAGAAATTTATACTTTAGAAAACCTTGGAAAAAGCCAAGCTTGCCATTCACCATTCGGGATGCTTACAAACCAACTGTCAGTTGCTCCCATAGACATGTCATCTGTTCCTTTCTCTTGAGAGATTTCCTTAACGTATCTGGTGGCAGTATCTTAGAAAACAGCAGTATCAGCCCCCTTTTAAATATAGCTTTCTGTAATAAAAAAATCAAGGGAGAAATAGGTAAAACATTCAGTTTTGCTCAATAGCAAACAAAAGCCCCCAACTTAAATAAAAAGGGAACTTAAGCTACGTGATGTTCCATTGAGTGGTTTTGTTGAACGCATATGTTATTTATTTTCAGAGTGACTTCTACTTGTTTGAAACCCTAGGAAGTCTGATTCGCTGCAAAATCCAAGATTTTTCTTAATTTATGGATTAGCTTTAAATTCCATTCTTCTGGTACCTCACTACTGCTGAAAGTGGCCCCCCAGGAATCCCACTGGACTCTTTCCTCAGTGGAAACTAGCTTATCTTCATCAGTTTCAAAGTTGCTAATTTTGATTATCGACCATTTTGGCCTTTGATCATAGAAGCTACTACAGGAACATTCAGAGGAAGCTATTTGAAAGGCAGAAGGGAGCCAGCCAAAAAGCAAGATCCAAACCAGTGAGGAGGCAGAACAGAATGACCATACCGCACAGACCCAGTATACGCCCCCAGCGATTGGAAAAGAGGGCCACTTAGTTGTGCGGGAGCAAGGGTCGGTTGAGTTTGTTCACCCATGAATCCGCATACCTCCTACACAAGTTCCTGTGAACATTTTACTTTTTGTAGTCCTTTAATAACATGCTATAAGGGTGTATAACCACCTTTAGTAAAAAAGGATCCTACTGACTTTAATCTGGTTACATGATACAAACAATACCTGTGCCCACATAGGTAATTCCCAGGTCTTCTGTGCATGATGCCTGGAAGCACAGTATTCTTTTTCAGGCATTACTTAGACAGGTTTTCTATATTTGGTAGTGATCATTTTATTAATGGGAAAAGTTAGAGTGTTGTTTCGTTTCTTTCTTTCTTTCTTTCTTTCTTTTTTTTTTTTTTTTTTTTTTTTTGAGACAGAGTCTTGCTCTGTCTCCCAGGCTGGAGTGCAGTGGCATGATCTCAGCTCGCTGCAACCCCCGCCTCCCGGGATCAAGTGATCCTCTGCCTCAGCCTCCCTAGTAGCTGGGATTACAGGCACATGCCACCACACCTGGCTAATTTTTGTATTTTTAGTAGAGACGGGGTTTCGCCATGTTGGCCAGGCTGGTCTCGAACTCATGGCCTCAAGTGATCCGCCCCCCCCGTCGGCCTCCCAAAGTGTTGGGATTACAGGCATGAGCCACCGTGCTTGACCTAGAGTGTTGCTTCTAGCAAGTGCAGTGAAGTAAGTAGCAGTCATCTTTAAAATATCAAGGATAGCTTTCCATTCTTCCTTTGAAATTTCAGAGTGACTCTCATTGGGAACATGGAGAGGCACTGACATCAGTGAAACTGTTTTCTGACCTTGGCATTAGCCCACAAACCCAACAATTGCTCGGCTTTTCTTTTTTCTCTTCTTTTCTTTTCCCTTCTTTCCTTCCTTCCTTCCCTCCTTCCTTCCTTTTTCTTTTTCTTTTTTTGGAGACAAGGTCTTGCCATATTGCCCAGGCTGTACTTAAACTCCTAAATTCAAGCGTCCACCTGTCTCAGCCTCCTGAGGAGCTGGGACTACAGGCATGCACCATTGTACCCAGCCATGATCTGGCTTTGTGCTAGAGCATAAGCTAGAGTTGAATCCATCCACTTCTTATGGTCCCATGGATTTTACCACAGGCAAAAGGAAAGGATTAGGACAGAAGGAAATGAGGAAAAAAGAAAAAGCACAAAGCTTTAATGACGGCATAAAAGTCTTGATCTGTTATCTTAGGAAAGCTGTTCAAGTCTAGGATGTCATCTGCTTCTGGAAGAAATTTTTCTATTAATAGCTTTATCTTAAAGTCTTCAACAGGTATACAGTTCTAAAAGTCTGAAGCGGTTCTTTTGAGTTGTGAGATGTGAACCCAAGTTTCAAAGCCCTGAAGTTTCACTAAAGTATGGGTGGTGGAAGAACTTGGTACAGTTCCTTTCAAGGGGGTTCAAGAGCGGTGTTCCTCTGATGTTGTTTTCAGAAGGCCCAATCACCAGGTCCTAGATCATGAATGGTTTGATTGTCCTCAGTCAGTGGATCACAAAAAACTTCCTTTACCTAGGGAAGATACGCTTTGGCATAACGCATTAAAGCCTTGCAGTATTTAGTCAAACTAAATGGAGAGTGGGAGATGCATGAAGTTCTATTATTAGGGGCATAGGCCTTCCAGTGACTATTTCATAGGAGGTCAACTTATGGTTTCCAGTGGGAGTGGATCAGGTTGCCATTAAAGCTAATAGTAGTACATTTTGGCCAAGTGACTCAGTTCACTTTTCCAATTTCGGTTTTGAGATGCCATTTGTTTTTTTTTTTTTTTTTTAGACGGAGTCTTGCTCTATCACCAGGCTGGAGTGCAGTAGTGCAAACTCTGCTCACTGCAACCTCTGCCTCCGGAGTTCAAGCGATTCTCCTGCCTCAGCCTCCCAAGTAGCTGGGATTACAGGTGTCTGCCACCACACCTGGCTAATTTTTGTATTTTTAGTAGAGACAGGGTTTCACCATGTTGGCCAGGATGGTCTTGATCTCCTGACCTTGTGATCTGCCTGCTTTGGCCTCCCAAAGTGCTGGGATTACAGGTGTGAGCCACTGCACCTGGCCTGCCATTTGTTCTTTCAATCTTTCCAGAAGACTGAGTGTGATAGACACAATGGTAGTGCCAATGTGTCTATAAAACCTTTTTAAACTGCATTATAACTTGCCCCATAAAGTGAGTTTACCTATCACTGGAGATTTCTCTAAGAATGCCTCATAAAGGAAACACATTTTCTAATAATTTATTAGCTATTGCTACAGTATTGGCCTTCCTACATAGAAAAGCCCCTAACCAACCAGGATCCACCCACTTCAGTGGCATAGCTTAAAGTGTACTATGATCGTGCCTTTGAATGGCAACTGCACTCCAGCTTGGGAAACATAGCAAGACCCCATCTCTTAAAACAAAAAAAGAGTATCGTTTCACTTCTTTTAAATTTGTTGAGACTTGTTTTGTGAACTAACATGTGGTCTATCCTAGAAAATGTTTTGTATTCTCTTACCAAATTGGTTATGTTATTATTATATAGTGACCTAGTCTCTTTCTACAGTTTTTTTATTTAAAGTTTGTTTTTTTCTGATATAATTACTACTGGTTGCTTTTGACTTTTGTTTGCATGGAATATCTTTTTCCATTCCTTCACTTTCAATCTATATGTGTCTATGCAGGTAAAGTGAGTTTTTTTGTAGGCAGCATATAGTTGGATCATGTAAAAAATCTATTCAGCCAGTCTATATCTTTTAAGTGGGGAATTTAATCCATTTACATTCAAGGTTGTTATTGATAGGTGAGGATTTATTCTTATCATTTTCTATATTGTTTTCTGATTGTTTTGTACATCCTTTGTTCCTTTCTTCCTCTTATTTTTATTGCAGTTTGGTGATTTTCTATAGTGGTAACAGTTGATTCTAACAGTTGACTCCTTTCTCTTTCTCATTTGTGCATCTCCTCTACCAGTGAGTTTTACACACTTTTGTGTGTTTTCATGATGGTAGATATCATTTTTTCATTTCCAGATGTAGGACTCCTTTAAACATTTATTGTAGGGCCAGCATAGTGGTGATTAATTCCCTTAGTTTTTGCTTTTTTGGGAGAAACTTTATTTCTTCCTCATTTCTGCAGGATAGCTTTGCTGGGTATAGTATTCTTGGTTGGCAATTTTTTTTTTCTACCAGAAAAGAAACTGTATCATCCCATTCTCTCCTGGACTACAAGGTTGTCTGCAGAGAAATCTGCTTCAGTCTTGTATATGATGACACTTTTCTCTTACTGTTTTTAGAATTCTTTTGTCTTTGACTTAAGATAGTTTGACTACAATGTACCTTAGAGGGGATCTTTTTGAGTTGAATCTATTTGGGGACCTTTGAGCTTCTTGGGTCTGGATGTTCATATTTGTTCCCAGACTTGGGAAGTTTTCAGCTATTATTTAATTAAACAAATTTTCTACACCTTTTATCTTCTCCTTCTGGTATTCTCATAAAATGCATATTTGTTTACTTAATGCTATCATATAAATCTTGTAGGTTTTCTACATTCTTTTTCATTTTAACTTCTTTTTCTGGATAATTTCAAATGACCTATCTTCAAGTTAAGGGATTCTTTCTTCTGCTTGATCAAGTCTGCTGTTGAAACACTCTATTGTATTTTTTTATTTCACTCATTGAATTCTTTAGCTGCAAGATTTCTGTTTGGTTCTTTTTTATGATTTTCATCTCTTTTTTGAGTTTCTCATGTGTATTGCGAATTGTTTTCCTAATTTCATCGAATCATCTATATTTTCTTGTATCTCATTGAGTTTCCTAAAGATCATTATTTTGGATTCTTTTATCCCAATAGTTTGTTGATTTCCTTTTCATTGGGGTCTGTTGGTAGATTGTTACGTTACTTTAGTGGTGTCATATTTCTGTATCCTTTCATGATTCTTTTGTCCTTACATTGACGTCTGTGCATCTGGTGGAAAAATCAGCTCTTCCAAACTTCCTAGTGTGGCTTTTGTAGAGAAGGACTTTCACTTGCAGTTTTGGGTTTTAGTGTGCCAGTTGGGAAAGGTGTGATGACTCTAGTTCTAGATAGGTGCAGTGGTTTAGCTTCTGTGGAGTTTCTTCAGCTGCGTTCTATGACAGCAATAGCTGTGGGTACCTTAGTAGCCTGTGCTGTAGAAGTCTGTGGCAGCAGCAGTGTAGGTTGTGAATGTCCTTGGTGTCAAGGGCTTTTAGGGTCCTCCTAGTCTCATTTTCTCCACAATGGAGAGACTTAGCTGAGGAGATCACTCTTAGTATCAGGTCTGACATAGTCTACAGGCAGGTGCAGAGGCACTGGGTTCTAGGTGCATGTGCTCTGAGTGGCTGTAGGGTCAGGTACTAGGCTCAGGGTCTCACAAACCTATTGTGGCACCCAGGTCTTGGGGTGCAGGTTTGTTTTCTGAGGCAGAGTTGGATGTAGATTGCCTATAGTGTCAGGATATCTGACTTACAGTAACTTCCTGGAAGCTCAGGTCCAGGCGGGCAAGTTATGCCTGTGATTCTACCCCTGGGGGGAAGGGCATAGCACCGGCCTGACTCCAGGGAAGAAGAGTTGCTCTGGCGGTATGGGCCTGGGGAGTAGAGTAAAGCTGCAATTCAGGAACCAGAGTCAATGAGCTCAGTGACAACTCAGGTTCCAGAGGACGAAGCACCATGTAGTAGTGACTCTAGACCCTAGGATGGTGGGGCTTGGCAGTATCCCAGACTCTGTGAGGCCAGGGGCAACGGCAGCAAGGGCTCCAGAATGGTAAAGCACATCTGTCATTTGGGCTCTGGAGGGGCAGGGAACAACACAGAGATGACTCCACTCCTCAGGGAAAGGACTGTCTCAGCAGCTCAGGCTCTAAGGAGCTAGTCTCACTGCAGGAAAACAGGCTACTAAAGTTGTTTGGCCTGTAGAATAGGGTGTCTCTGCTCAGCCACTGATCTGTTTCCCTGGGATGTAGGGTACCACATCAGCTCAACCCTGGGATATGCAGCTGTTCAGCTTGACCAAGGCACATATTCTCCAGGGGACTATGTGTCATTTCAGCTCAAGCCTGGGGTGATGGGAGCATAACTGTTCTGGGAAGCCTAGGCACTGTCTCCCTGAGATGCAGGGCATCACTTCAGCTTAGGTACTGGGGTGTGTGACCCCTCCAGGGGGCTGGGGCACCATTTCCTGGGATGTGGGACACTGCTTTAACTTAGGCACTGGGGAGATGTGACTTCTTTATGTGGCCCAGCTACTGTTTTCCCAGGAGGAAGGTTACTGCTTCAATTCTGGCCCAAGGGGCTGGAGGGAGGGGTAGGTGGAACAGCTGCATTTCTGCTTAGCTTCCTTGGGAAGAGTATAACAGCTGCTTGCAGCTCAGCATGGGGCTGTTGGGTCAGTGGCCAGGGATAGTTCATTGTCAGCTTAGCCTCAGGGATAAAGGGAAGCCATGGCTACTACTTACGCCTGCAGCATAATACTCCAGCTTTAGTCCCAGTTCCAAGATGACATAGTGCAGTAGCTGCATGGGCCACACGGGGGCGAGCACAGTATCAACTACCTTCTCTGGGAGGAAGCACAGCTATGTGAACTCCAGGCAGCTCCTTGAGCTGGGCTTAGTGCCTGTGATGAATGCAAGGAACTCCAGTGGTGAGGTTTGTAGGTGTCAAAGGTGGTGATGAGGGTTGCTGGGATCCTCATGCTTAACTCCTCACCATAGAAAGAAGTTCCTCCTGGTTTTCAGCTGACCCCAGCTGGGAGATGCAGTGGTGGAGGCTTGGCATTTCCTTCCATTCTTTTTTTTTTTTTTTTTTTTGAGACAGAGTCTCGCTCTGTCGCCCAGGCTGGAGTGCAGTGGCGTGATCTCCGCTCACTGCAGGCTCCGCCTCCTGGGTTCACGCCATTCTCCTGCCTCAGCCTCCCGAGTAGCTGGGACCACAGGTGCCCGCCACCACGCCCGGCTAATTTTTTGTATTTTTAGTAGGGACGGGGTTTCACCATGTTAGCCAGGATGGTCTCGATCTCCTGAGCTCGTGATCAGCCTCCCAAAGTGCTGGGATTACAGGCATGAGCCACCGCACCTGGCCTCCTTCCATCCTTTATGTGTCCATCTCAAGTTTCTGAGCTCACTGGGGTTTCTGTTACTCCTCTGATGCACTCCAGCATGCTCTCTCAGTTGTTTTCACTAACATGTAGTTGTTTATTCGTTGTTCTGGCCGTCTTCACGAAGGGGACCAGTGCTAGGGTATATTAGTCGGCCATCTTGCTCTGGACTCTGGTTTTTCAGCTGGTAGGATCGTAGAATTACCAGCACTGGTACATACAATTGTCTAAGTCCTTGTTTAATTAAATCTTCCACAATTGGTGAGAGCCCTTGAAATGCTTTGGGTTTTAGTGACTATTGGAGTAATTTAGGCAAAGGTTTAGAATAATCTTTTGGATTTTTGTAGGTTCCACATTTTCAATCCTTCCTGTATCAGTTGAGGAAGAGGCCCATAAACATACAGGTATTTTAGAAACATCAGGGGCATTACAGTCCTGATTTTTAATCTTATCAATTTCTGCCCATAGAGAGCATAACAATTCTGGTGCAGAAGAGTCAGGAAACTCTAAGATTATTTCTCTTTCTGAGAAGAATATATACATGCTTTTAGCTTTGGAGAATGTTCCATGTGCTGATGAATAGAATGTATATTCTGCAGTTGTTGGGTAGAATGTTCTGCAAATGTCTGTTAAGTCCATTTGTTGTAGGGTATAGTATAAGTCCATTGTTTCTTTGTTGACTTTCTGTCTTGATGACCTGTCTAGTGCTGTCAGTGGAGTATTAAAGTCCCTCACTATTGTGTTGCTGTATATCTCATTTCTTAGGTCTAGTAGTAATTGTTTTATAAATTTGGGAGCTTTCGTGTTTGGTGCATGTATATTTAGAATTGTGATATTTTTCTATTGGACTAGTCCTGTTATCATTATATAATGTTCCTCTTTGTCTTTTTTAACCGCTGTTGCTTTAAAGTTTCTTTTGTCTGATATAAGAATAGCTACTCCTGCTCGCTTTTGGGGTCCATTTGCATGGAGTATCTTTTTCCACTCCTTTACCTTAAGTTTATGTGAGTCTTTACGTGCTAGGTGAGTCTCCCAAAGACAGCAGAAACTTGGTTGGTAAATTCTTATCCATTCTACCATTCTGTATCTTTTAAGTGGAGCATTTAGGCTGTTTACATTCAATGTTAGCATTGGGATGTGAGGTACTATTCTATTCATTGTGCTATTCGTTGCCTGAATACTTTGGTTTTTTTTCATTGTTATTGTTTCACTGTTATTGTTATATAGGTCTGTGAGATTTATGCTTTAAGGAGGTTCTATTTATGCTTTAAGGAGGTTCTATTTATGCTTTAAGGAGGTTCTATCTTAAAGATTTATGCTTTAAGGAGGTGTTTTGAGGATTTGTTTCAAGATTTAGAGCTCCTTTTAGCAGTTCTTGCAGTGCTGGCTTGATAGTGGCTAATTTTCTCAGCATTTGTTTGTCTGGAAAAGACTGTATCTTTCCTTCATTTATGTAGCTTATTTTCACTGTATATAAAATTCTTGGCTGATAATTGTTTTGTTTAAGGAAGCTAAAAATAGGACCCCAATCCCTTCTAGCTTGTAGGGTTTCTGCTGAGAAATCTGCTATTTATCTGATAGGTTTTCCTTTATAGGTTACCTGATGCTTTTGCCTCATAGCTCTTAAGATTCTTTCCTTCATATTGACTTTAGATAATCTGATGACTATGTGCCTAAGCAATGATATATATTTTTTTCTTTTTTTGTAGACAGAGTTTTGCTCTTTCACTTAGGTTGGAATGCAGTGGTGCGATCTTGGCTCACTGCAACCTCTGCTCCCTGGGTTCAAGCAATTCTCTTGCCTCAGCCTCCCAAGTAGCTGGGATTATAGGTGCCAGCCATCATGCCCAGCTAATTTTTATATTTTTAGTAGAGATGGAGTTTCATCATATTGGCCAAGCTGGTCTTGAACTCCTCACCTCAGGTGATCCACCCGCCTCAGCCTCCCAAAGTGCTAGGATTACAGGCATGAGCCACTGCGCCTGGCCTAGTGATGATCTTTTTGTGATGAATTTCCCAGGTGTTCTTTGAGCTTCTTGTATTTGGGTGTCTAGATCTCTAGCAAGGCTGGGGGAGTTTTCCTTGATTATTCCTTCAAATATGTTTTCCAAACTTTTAGATTTTTCTTCTTCCTTGGGAACACCAAGGAATTATTCTTAGGTTTGGGCATTTAACATAGTCCCAAACTTCTTGGAGGCTTTGTTCATTTTTTAAAATTCTTTTTTTTTTTTTTTTGTATTTGATGGATTCGGTTAATTTGAAAGCCTTGTCTTTGAGCTCTGAAGTTCTTTCTTCTGCTTGCTCAATTCTATTGCTGAGACTTTCTAGTGTATTTTGCATTTTTCTAAGTGTGTCATTGATTTTCAGAAGTTGTGATTGTTTTTTATTTATGCTATCTATTTCATTGAAGAATTTTTATTTTATATCCTGCATCATATTTTTGATTTCTTTAAGTTGGACTTCACCTTTCTTTGGTGCCTTCTTGATTAGCTTAATAATCAACATTCTGAATTCTTTTTCTGGCAATTCAGATATTTCATCTTGGTTTGGATCCATTGCTGGTGAGCTGGTTTGATCTTTTGTGGGTGCTAAAGAACCTTGTTTTTTCATATTACCAGAATTGTTTTTCTGGTTCCTTTTCATTTGGGTTGACTATGTCAGAGGGAAGATCTGGGACTCAAGGCCTGCTGTTCAGATTCTTTTGTCCCATGGGATGCCCCCTTGATGCAGTGTTCTCCCCCTTCCCCTAGGAATGAGGCTTCCTGAGGGCTGAACTGCAGTGATTGCTTTTGCTCTTCTGGTTCTAACCACCCAGTGGAGCTACCGGGCTCTGGGCTGGCACTGGGGAGTGTCTGCAGAGTCCTGTGATGTGATCCTGTCTCAGCCATAGATACCAGCACCTGCTCCAGTGGAGGCAGCAGGGCAGTGACGTGGACTCTGTGTAGGTCGTTTGTTGTGTTTTTCTTTAGTGCACTGGTTTTGTGTTGGTTGGCCAGGAGGTGGGCTTTCTTTTTTTTTTTTTTTTTTTTGTGAGAGGGAGTCTCGCTCTGTCGCCCAGGCTGGAGTGCAGTGGCGGGATCTCGGCTCACTACGAGCTCCGCCTCCCGGGTTCACGCCATTCTGTTGCCTCAGCCTCCTGAGTAGCTGGGACTACAGGCGCCCGCCACTACGCCTGGCTAATTTTTTGTATTTTTAGTAGAGACGGGGTTTCACCGTGTTAGCCAGGATGGTCTCGATCTCCTGACCTCGTGATCCGCCCGCCTCGGCCTCCCGAGGTGGGGCTTTCAAGAGCACATCAGCTGCAATCGTATAGGGAGGATGTAAACTTGCCCTAGAGACACCTGGTTAAGTATGCAGGTTTCTCAGGCAGTGGGCAGGGCCATAGAGCTCCCAAAGAGATTATGATCTTTGTCTTCTGCTACCAGCTGGGTGGAGAAAGACCACGAGGTGGGGGCAGGGATAGGCATGTCTGAGCTCAGACTCTCCTTGGGTGGGGCATGCTGTGGCTGTTGTGGGAGATGGGGGTGTGGTTCCCAGTCCAATGGATTTGTATTCCCATGGGGAGCATGTCTGCCTCTCCTGAGTCATACTGGTCGCCAGGGAAGTGGGGGAAAGCCAGCAATCACAGACCTCACCCCACTCCCATGCAGCCTGCAGTCCTAAAGGCTGGTCTCACTCCCACTGTGGCCCCCCAACAGCATGGAGTCTATTAACAGACAGGTGGTGACCAGGGCTGAGAACTTGCCCTAGACCACCAGCTTCCCCATTGAGAAAGCAAGCAGACTCACAGTTTTCCGGCATCTCAGGGGCCCCGCAGCAGTGATCTAGTTCCTTCTAAGGGTCTGTGGATTCTCTGAGCTTTTCTGGTATGGTCCTGCAGTAGTTCTTGGAGAAAAAGTTCACGAGGTGAGTCTCCTCTGAGCCGGAGCTGCAAGCTAGTCCTGCCTTCTATCCGCCATCTTGCCCGCATTCTTTTAGCTTTGAAAGTAAGTCTTGCCCTAGGAAGTTTACTGGAGTAGTATCCCACAGTACAAAAGTATGTTTTTTCTGAAAATGGCCCCAAAGTCCATTGAACGAGTTCAAACATAGGAACCTCTTGAACTTCATTCAAAACCCCCAGCAAAAAACATAACGTTTTTACTCTCAGCGATTTGTTGATCTATTAAAGTGGCTTTATGGTAGATAGGAGGCTTTGGTATCCACCAGGATTGTACAAGATTTCCTTTATTCTAACTCTTGTTTCTCTATGTTTATTTAGAGGTGTTATGGGCAGCACTTTATCAGGGGACTCTCTTAGAGTCTGGTCAATTATCACGAGAGCTAAAATCTCTTGGGCTCTCTCTAGCCTAAAGGAAAGAGGCTTATTGGTGGACTGTCAGAAAAATGGAGAATTTCTTTTCCAGTGTCTCTTTTCTAGTCATTTGCAATAAAGGGAGATACTTTGGGACCTCTTGTTTCAGGACCTCTTGGTTGAAAAAACTTCACAGGTTGCAGCTTTTTGAAGGTTGAAGGGACATAGGCTTGTTAATCTTTGGGTTTTTTCTTCCTGTAGAGCCCTTTCAAAATGTTCAGCTACAGCCACCAATTCAGTCATATCTGTCACTTCCCATCTAGGTTTATGTTTTTTAATTAAACTGCTAAGTTCAGGACAAAATCTGCTTATAAATAGAACAGTTTATGCCGTTTCAGTCTCTGCAGGAAATGCTCCTTGCCATATGTTGAGCCCAGAATGTTTCTGAAATAGTGTTTCTAAGTGAGTTCTATAATGTGAAACTGGTTCATCTTTTTTTTTTCTTGTCTGCAGGATTGCATCATGGACCAATCAATTTTTGGTGAATGTGATTGGTCCATCATGCAAACCAGAAGACAAAAATGTGTGAAAAATCTTAGAAATTGAATCTAGAAGGGGTTCAGCATTTTTTCATGCTCCTTTTGGCCCTTCCCATGAGGAGGTCTTGGAGGGGTCTTTAATATCCTCCTCATGTGTGTTCCATTCTGTTGCTGGCATCCATTTGCCAGGTCCCAATATCATGTGAATAAATTGGTAAAGGTCAAGGAGTCCTGGATCCTCCATTCCTAGGAAGATTCTAAATTCCTCAGTAAATTTTTGAGGGTTTCTCCTTGCATCAGGGAAGTCTTTTACAATGGCTCTAAGCTCAATTTTAGATCATGGAGTTAAAGTGGTTACAGCAGGAAGGCCTGGCTGATCAGAGGTCTTACTTTGTAAAGACATCTGTTTGCCTTCTCTTTTGTCAATATTCTTCAGGGTGAAAGGGTAATTTAGCAAGGTTAGTGGACTCAGAATATTTAGTTGGGGATGGATAAAGAGAATAAACAGTTGTGGTTAGTTCAGTAAGAACATAGTCCTTGTTTCTTTTCAAAGTATCTTACCAGTGGAAAGTTTAAAAATTAATTTATTATAGGCCGGGCGTGGTGGCTCACGCCTGTAATCCCAACAATTTGGGAGGCTGAGGCAGGTGGATCACCTGAGGTCGGGAGTTTGAGACCAGTCTGACCAACATGGTGAAACCCCATCTCTACTAAAAATATAAAATTAGCCAGGCATGGTGGCATGCACCTGTAATCCCAGCCCACTAGGGAGGCTGAGGCAGGAGAATTGCTTGAACCCGGAAGGCAGAGGTTGTGGTGAACTGAGATCGTGCCACTGCACTCCATCCAGCCTGGGCAACAAAAGCAAAACTCCATCTCAAAAAAACAACAACAAAAATAATTTATTGTAATTTATTGTTATTACTATTAATGATTATTTTGAGACAGGATCTCACTCTGTTGCTCAGACTGGAGTGTAGTGGTGCAATCTTGGCTCACTGAAGCCTCAACCTCCTGGGCTCAAGCAATCTTCCCACCTCAGCCTCCCAAGTAGCTAGGACTACAGGTGTAAACCACTATACCTGGCTAATTTTGTTTATGTTTTTGTAGAGATGAGGTCTCACTATGTTGCCCATGCTGGTCTCGAACTCCTGGACTCAAGCAATTTTCCCACCTTGACCTTCCAAAGTGCTGGGATTACAGACATGAGCCACTGTGCTCGGCCTTAGTCCTCTTTTATGATGTCCTTAGTCTGTTGTTTAAGATTTTCACTTGCTTTTTGCAAAGAATCTTTTACGGATGCAATTTTTGATTTGTTCAGTCTTTTAGATCTTCCTATACTAATTAAAGGATACATACTATTGTTTTTATGTGGGATTCTGATTCCTTTTTTCTCATATGACTTGCAAATAAATAATTTTAACCAAATTAAAACTTCCCCATTATCTTTTCTAAGTTGTCTCAGTGAGGTTAACCCATTTTTTCTGAAAATGCACATGTTCTGGGCCCATAATTTTATACATAAAAGTAGCTGGAGTCCCAGAATGTGGAGTCCCAGGCTCTTTGAATTGAGATGAACTCATTACCAAAAAGGTACCCACCTGAGGCCCTCAGCCTCTAACTGAATCTAATCCGGTTGATTATTGAATCCAATCCAATCCCAAACCCAGCCCAGTCCAAAGATTGCTCAAACAAACTTGGAGAGCTGAGAACACAAATTCTTGGATCTTGGAATCTGAGAGAAAATTCAGCCACGACCTCCAGTTACAAACAAGAAATCAGTGGGCACAGCTGGCTTCGCAGGTATCTGGTCTGGTTCCCTGGTGTTCCTGGGGGTTGCTGAAGTTTTACTCTGTATTCTCACTTCTGACACCAAATCTGTTAAAAGAAAAACTTTAGACATATTAAATTTAACAGAGTTTAATTGAAAAAAAAAAGAAAAGAAAAGAAAAAAAACAACCAAAATGATTTCTGAATTTGATAGCCCCCAGAATCAGAATAGATTCAGAGACTCCAGGGCTGCTACATGGTCAGATAAGATTTATGGACAGAAAAAGGAAGGTGACATACAGGAATTGTGAGCTACAGAAACAGCTGGGTTAGTTACAGCTCAGCGTTTTCCTCATTGGTACAAGGTCTGAACAGCTGGCCGCCTGCGACTGGCTGAGACTCAGCCATTGTTACAGAAGCATACTGCTGAGTTGAGTTTTCAGTTTGTTTAGGTACTAAGTTAGCTTGTTGTTCCTAAGTAAGAACTCAAGTATGTGAGTACAGAGGCTTTCTCAGGCCAAATTTAGTTTGATTTAACAGAAGTGAGGAGCAACCAGCCTCATTCTCACTGTGGCTGGGTGTGGGCATGTCCTGGGCCCTCCCACAGCTCTAGGAATTGCCTGAGAGACAGACGAAGTGGACAAAGTCGCTGACAGACCTGAGTTACTGCCTTGGTCCTGGTGACCCTGCTCCAGGCAGTCCATCTCTGTCTGCGATCCCGGCACCACTCCCGGTGGTTCATTATTGCCCAGAGGGGCCTCTGGAGTGCAAGCCTCAAACAGGGAGACAGACCTGGGAAGACTCCATGAGGCTCCACAGCAACCAGACAGTTCTAAAGTCAGCGTCCCTGGCTTCCAGCTCCAACACTGGACATTCCCCCGTGGCTCCCCTGCCTGGGAATCTGGTGGAGGCTGATTGGGCAGCCCAGGGGATGCCGGTGGGGTGCGGGGAGGAAAGGCTGCAAGGGCAGCTTGGCTGGATCATGGAGGCCCGGGTGAGGCATTCGGACTTACTCTAAGGGCAAGAGAGTGAGAGACTGCAGCTTGGAGAGGACAGCGGTGCTTTGGAAGATGAATCTGGCTCGTTGTGCTGTAAGAAAAGGAGGGAGGAGAGCAGCTTTCTAGGTGACCTGGGGCTGTGACAGTAGGTATGAGGGACGTGAGGGGTCTGAGACAAGCAGTGAGGGTGCACTGCCCAGCCTTCCTGCTTGTGGGTTAGGAGCTGTCGGTGAGGATTCTAAGGGTGTGACCCTTGATGATGAGGTGAATGTGTTATGGCTCACAGGAACAGGGAAGATGGGAGGAGGAGTGGGCTTACAGCAAAGAGAAGCGTTTTATTTTATTCAGCTTGGCCGTGAGACTTCTCTGTGGCGATAGGTGAGTTTGCCAAATCTGGAGCTCGAGAACCAAGTCAAGGCTGTAGCTGCATATTTAGGAGTAAAGGTAGAAATTGAAGTAATGGGAGGGAGTAAGAGTGTTGAAGATGGAAGTTTTTCATGCCAGAAATAAGCTGTTTAAGGAAATGACCAATCTCCTAGAAATCTCCAAGGCCTATGTTAAAACCATCCCTTACCCCTGCAAAGATACCATATGCACGTACCTCTAACATTGCCTGGTTTATGTCATGTGCACCTAACCATTGCCCTAGCAGGTGGGCCTCTGTACAAAGGGAAGTAAATACTTGTTCCTGTAGAACCTCTGGTTTTGGATAATATAAATATTAACTTTGGCCAGGCGCAGTGGCTCACACCTGTAATCCCAGCACTTTGGGAGGCCGAGGCGGGGGGGATCACCTGAGGTCGGAAGTTCGAGACCAGCCTGGCCAATATGGTGAAACCCCCGTCTCTACTAAAAATACAAAAAATTAGCAGGGCGTGGTGGCAGGTGCCTGTAATCCCAGCTGCCTGGGAGACTGAGGCAGGAGAATCACTTGAACCCAGGAGGGGGAGGTTGCAGTGAGCCAAGATGGTGCTACTGTACTCCAGCCTGGGCGCGGCAGAGCAAGACTCCATCTCAAAAATAAATGAGTAAATAGATATTAACTTTCTAGTACTTCGGGCACATCTGCTTGTAATGCCCCTGAGGTGACTATGGTAGCAGTCCGTCCCAAGCTTCTTGGCAATGCCAGTGGCTGGCAATGTGTCACATGCCTGGAATGACCAGAGAATAAGTGTCTGATGGTCTGCTCGGTAGTCACTGGAAGCCACCCCCATGAGGTGGTGACAAAAGAGGACTTTGGAAGGCTCTGACAGTGCATTGGAGCTGGGGCTTCTTGGGTATTTTTTTTTTTTTTGAGACGGAGTTTTGCTTTTGTTGTCCAGGCTGGAATGCAATGGCATGATCTCAGTTCACTGCAACCTCTGCCTCCCAGATTCAAGCGATTCTCCTGTCTCAGCCTCCTAAGTTGCTGGGATTACAGGTATGTGCCACCATGCCTGGCTAATTTTATATTTTTAGTGGAGATGGGGTTTCTCCATGTTGGTCAGGCTGATCTTGAACTCCCGACCTCAGGTGATCTGCCTGCCTTGGCCTCCCAAAGTGCTGGGATTACAGGTGTGAACCACCGTGCCTGGCCTGCTTCTTGAGTGTTTTTGTTGTGAGTTTTAATCCCTACAGTGAAAAAGAACAGCTCCCTCTTGTTGGAGTGGCAGGGGTTGGCAATGCTCCCTTGCCTTTAGAGCGGAAGTCCATCCCCATGAGCTGGAGGCAGTGAAAGGTCAACCCCCAAGTCCATGGGTAGTCCCTTGGCAGCTGGGCGGAAACCAGCGAAGAGGCTGATATTTTGGAATGGCCGACGGCTCTATGGGTCCCAGGAAGATGAGCTAATTTGCTCACAGCGGGGCCACCAGGTCTGCTGCTTGCCTCGGTGGCTTCAGATGCTCTTTGAGCAGGCTGTGGCTCCCAGAGCTGAATAGGAGTGTAGGACTCACTCCCTTGGATGGACTCACAGAGACTGAAGTGCAAGCCAGGTGCCATATGACGAATTCCCAGAGAAGTGGAGCTGCCCAAGGGAGGGCACATGCGCTCGGCCTCAGCGGCATTAGTATGCCTTGATGGGCTCCTCAGCTGTCCGTTTCTGTCCATAACCTGGACGTCAGTGTGACTCCTCTCCCCCACCTCCCTGTCTCCCTCCCTTCCTCCTTCCCTCACTTATCCCCCTCTCCCATCTCTCCATCCATCCTCCCCCTCCACCATCCCCAGGCCCAGTGGAGGGTGACAGCTCACAGCCTGGGTCCTCCGTATCCATGCTGTGTTCTTTGTGCCCCGCCCTCCATCCGGGAGCAGCACTAGAAGGAAGGTCCTCAGCTCTTTAGGGACATTCCTGTCCTGGAGCCAAGGCCAGCACTGGCAGGGGTCCACGAACCTTGGCTGACTAGTCCTGTGGTCAGCCTTACCCTGTGGAGGCACAGAGCCAGAGGCCCTTGCTTCTGACTGGCTGCATTCCCATTGCACATGTGGGAATTGGGAAAGGCCGGGGACCTGCTCAGGCTCGCCTGGATGGCACTTCCCCAGCTCTCTGATGGGTTGTGGGGACACGGCACTTCTGGTCCAGGGAAGTGGCCCAGGACTTCCCATATCTGGGGCACAATGCTCCCATCCCACACTGGAGAATCAAGATTGCACTGCACGGAGGAATTTTTAAAGAATTTTCCTAATATGGGAGTGAGACCTTGATCCATGATGGCTCCCAGATACTCAGAGGATAGAGCCAGCCCCTTGCTGTCAGCACCAACTTCCATCCTTAGAGCTGCCGCCTCTCCTAACCCCCCACTCAGAGTCCTGGCCCTGAGTCTGGCTTCCCCGGGCTGGGAGCCACGATGATCTCTGAAAACACCATCAGTGCTGGGAACTCAGAGGAGGTTTTGGGTGCTTTAGTTCCATGCATCTGCACCAGAGCTCCCTGGGCCCAGGCCCCACCTGATGGGCCCCATTCTCCCACAACATGGGGTCTTGGTTCTGAACCTGCCCTGGGGCTGGCCCCTGCCCCTAGCTGCCTCTTTCTGGTCCCCAGCCCTGCACAGGAAGGCCATCTGCATACCCGACCTTACCTATCATCCATCGGGAAGCTTTCCGATGCTACATGCTCACTGGTTTAAACTGTTGCTCCCCCCACAGCAGGCATCTCAGCCTCCAGCTGTTTGTCAGCTGCTTCACATGGCTTCCAGCTGCTGAGGCTGAAGAAAGCTGGAGGCTTCAGTGGATGCTTCTGCGGCAAAAAGCTTGCTGGGGAGAAGCAAGCAAGCACAAAAGAGCAAGTGCCTTCTCTCCTCCTGACCTCAGTCTCCTAGTGCCCCCTATTGGAAGAACCTGCCAGAACCAGCTGACCTGGGGACATGTAATTTGCACAGATCAAGCCCCAGTAGCGCCAACCTGACAAGTGGAGATCTGGAGCCGAGACTGAATAGCCAATGGACAGCACAACGCCCTGCCCTCCTTTCCTTGCTTGGCAAGCTCTTGCCCCTGCTCCAGGCCTTAGCTCAGGTGTCATTTCTTCCAGGCAGCTCTCTCTGGACCAGTTGTCCCACTGTGGCTTCCCACAGAGACATACACACGCTTCTATCCAGCACAGGATAGAAATGATCTCTTCATGCTTCTATCTCCCTTACTTGGCAATGAGCTTCTGGAGAAAAAGCGACTTTGTCTGTCAAGTTTTGTAATTCTCAGGGCTTACTGCATAGCTCTGTACATCTTTGTTGAGCCATAGCTCCTGCAGTTGTCAGCTCTCCCCGGAAGAAGGTTGAGGAGTAGGTGGAGCAGGATGGTTTTTCTTCAGGCTGTCTCTCATCCTGGGATTCCCAGGCACTGCCCCTTCATTCTCCGACAATAATAATGATTAACATTTGTTGAACCCCTGGCCGGCACCAGGCACAATTGTTCATACTTCCCATGTATCAACTCATTTAGTTTTCACAGATTTATGAACTGAGGTGCAGAGAAGTTAAGCGACTTGCCCAACGTTACACAGTGAGAAAATGGCAGAACCAGAACTTGAATCCAGGTAATCTGGGTTCCAGAGCCTGTGCCCTTAGCCCCTATGTTATTTTGTCCAAGGAGGATAGGAATCAGGAAAATGTGGCAAACTTATAATGCTGATGCCAACAATCAAAATAAGAAGCTTCCAGAAGAAGCTGCATAAGATAGTGTCTCACAGCCATGGGTGGACATGTGACACAATTCAGGGCCCTCCCTGTGGTTGTTCAAGTTGGTAGTGACAGAGCAGAGAAGCTCCTCTTAGGAGGTGAAGTTGGCTCCAGGCTTGCGGAAGAAGAGACTGACTTGCAGAGAGATGCAGGGGTGAGAGGGAATGACAGCGCCTCCTCTCCCTGCCCTGGGTCTTGGGCCTCTGAGCTGGTGAATCCCCCTTTTGCATTGCCTCATTTAATGTCAGTTTCTCACATTTGTGACTAAAGAGGCCTAACTAATACCAACTTATAATTTACAAAGTCCTGTCACAGGTCATTGATTCTTATGCCAGCATGAGGGGGCAGGCAGGGGGTCATATCCCCATTTCCAGAAGTGAAAACTGAGGCTTGGAACAGTTAAGTGACTTGCCAAGCAGCAAGTCAGTGGCAGAGCTGGCTGAGAAGCTGGTGCTTGGCCCCTCAGGCCAGGAGTCTGTCCTCTCCTCCGCCTTGTGCTCTCATGGGAGCTATGGAGAGGGGGTCTGGGTACCACCACCTGCCTCAGTACTCGTGGCTCGGAGCTTTGACCCGGCTGTGCTTCCTCTCATTCCTCTTGCTTTGTCTTGGGGCCTATGGGGCTGGGGGAAACAGGCACAGAGCTGGAGATGGCAGATTCTAGTACTACACACTCCACACCCCGACTTCCCATCCATGGAGCTCACAGGGAGAGGTTCCTGCAGCAGCTACAAGAACACCTCCCCCCCATACCAGCAACCAGGAAATCTCCCAGACAAACTGTGTACCCGGACTGTGGAGGCCACCCACCCCGCACCTCACCCACTCCTGGTACCTCCAGGGCCTGTAGGGAAGCTCCCCGCCCCCAAACCAGCTTTGGGGCTCTCTCTCTGGCCTGGGCCCCAGCTTCGTGGGGGAAGTGGGTGTAGCAGCCTCCTCTGGCCTGGGGGCTGGGAAACCTCAGGCACCTCTGCCTCCGCAGCTGGTAATCCAGCTTGGGCTTGCCAGAGGCCAGTCAGCTCCTCTTCTGAATCTGGATTAGAATCTTCTCGACCCTGGCAGGAAGAGCAGGAGGCCTGCGGTTGGAGGGCATTTCCTGTTTACTGCTGGTGTCAGTGTTGGTCTGAGAGGTCCACCCTTCTGTGGTTAAGTGAGCCCGGACATCTCCCACCCTCCCTTCAGGCCGACTCACATCCCTCGCCTGGTCCTTGTGAGAAGGTCTCTGCTTCCTCTGGTTCAGGGGAGCAGGTTACCATCTCTGGGTTTGCTCTCCTCCCCTTGCCTGGGCTGAAATGAGTCTTTCTAATGACAGCAGCAGTGGCCTGCCCTGTTGCCAAATTTAGCAAAAAAAAAGAAGAAGAAAGAAAAAAGAGAAAAAGGATGCAGGTTAAATTTGAATTTCAGATAAATAGCAAATAATGTTTTAGTGTTAGTAGTTCCTGTGTATTATCTGCGGATCCTAAATGAAGCTGGAGCCCAGGGAGATGAAGTGTCTTTTGGGATCTGATGATGAGCAACACAGGATTCCAGCCACTCAGCCGAAGACTCTATGCCCCCAACAGTCTGCCAGCCAGTCAAGCTTGGCCACTGTGGCTGGCTGTGTCTATCCTGCTGTGACTCCTGTCCTGTGATCATAGGTGTTCCCCCTGTAGGTTGTGAGATGGGGAGATAATGATTTAACCCCACCTCAAAGAGAGGCAGACACTCCCAAGCAGTGATTTTCAAAGTTTGGTCACACAGCAGCAGCAGCAGCAGCAGCAGCAGCATCCGTGATAATTAATTTTATGAGTCAACCTGACTGGGCGATGGGGTGCCTGGATATCTGGCCAAATGTTATTCTAGGTGTCTCTGTGAAGATGTTTCTGGATGATGTTAACATGATGTTAACTTTTTTTTTTTTTTAAAGACAGCTCACTGCAACCTCCACTTCCCAGGTTCAAGCGATTCTCGCGCTTCAGCCTGCTGAGTAGCTGGGACTACAGACACACACTACCATGCTCAGCTAATTTTTTGTATTTTTAGTAGAGAAGGGTTTCACCATGTTACCCAGGCTGGTCTTGAACTCCTGGCCTCAGGCAGCCTGCCTCCTCAGCCTTCCAAAGTGCTAGGATCATAGGCGTGAGCCACCACATCTGGCTGATGTTAACATTTGAAATGTCAGGCTGAATAAAAATTGTCCTCCCCAGTGTGGGTGGGCGCCATCCAATCAGTTGAAGGCCTGAATAGAACAAAGGGCTGACCCTGCCACAAGTAAGGGAGAATGCCTCCTGCTTGACTGCTTTTGAGCTGGGACATCATTTTTTTTTTAAGTTCTCAGACTCAAACTGAAACATTAGCTCCTCCTAGGTCTTCAGCCTGCAGACTTCTAGACTGGAACTACACCAGTAACTCTCCTGGGTCTCCATCTTCCTGACTACAGATTTAGGATTTGTCAGCCTCCATAATTGTGAGCCAATTTTTTTCTGGAAAGCCTGGCTTTCCAAAGAAATATATATATGCTTATCTTTGAGACAAGGTCTCACGCTGTTGCCCAGGATAGAGTGCAGTGGTGCCATCATGGCTCACCACAACCTTGACTTTCTGGGCTTAGGTGATTCTCTCACCTCAGCCTCCTGAGTGGCTGGGCCTATGCCCAGCTATGCCCAGATAATTTTTGTATATTTTTTTGTAGAGATGGGGTTTTGCCATGTTGTCCAGGCTGGTCTTAAACTCCTGGGCTCAAGTGATCCTCCCACCTCGGCCTCCCAAAGTGCTGGGATTACAGGCATGAAGCACTGCACTGAGCCCAATTTCTTATAAATAATCTTTTTACACACACACACACACACACACACATACACACACACACACACACATGCATCTATTGGTTCTGCTTCTCTGGTGATGCTGACCACAGCATCACCTTGGACCTTGTGAGAAAAGTGCATTTTCTTGGGCCCTGATCAGACCTACTGGATCAGAAACCCTGGGAGCGAGGCTCAGAATCTGAGTTTGGGAAAACCCTGCAGGTGATTCTGCTAAGAGTTAAGTTTGCTGCTTTTAAAATGAACATTAGAGAAAAGGGAGCTCAAAGTCCTTGACTTAGTTCTCTTATCTTTTATTGGAATATTCTTGGGTTTCATTGAGCACCTAATTTGGTTTCATCTACTATAAGTGGGTGTCAAACACTTGGTCTTCTAAATAGCCTGGATTTTGGGGTGAGGGGGGAGTGTAGAGGGAGATGAGGGTTGAGGCAGAGTCTTGAGGATTGCCCGAGCCACACCATCCACTTCCATGTGCTAAGGGATGACTGATATGGTTTGGCTCTGTGTCCCCACCCAAATCTCACCTTGAGCTGTAATAATCCCCATGTGTCAAGGGTGGAACCAGGTGGAAATAATTCAGTCATGGGGGTGGTTTTCCCCATGCTGTTCTCGTGATAGTGAGTTCTCACGAGATCTGATGGTTTTATAAGGGGCATCCCCCCTTAGCTTGGCACTCATTCTCCCTCCTGCTGCCCTGTGAAGAGGTGCCTTCCACCGTGACTGTATAAGTTTTCTGAGGCCTCCGCAGCCAGCCGTGTAGAACTGTGAGTCAATGAAAACTCTCTTCTTTATAAATTACCCAGTCTCAGGTATTTCTTCCTAGTAGCATGATAACTGACTAATACAATGACCTTGGTTTAATCAGGCAACTTTTAGAGTCATATCTTCCTCTAGTCAGCCAGGCTGGAGCTGGCTGTTAATCTACTTGGGCACCCTCTACCATGCTCTCCTCCACTCTACCCGACTTTCCCTGTTTCTAAAACATTTTACTGCTCAGTCCAAGGCTCCTGGTTTTCTTGCTGGTTCTGTCTCCCACTGTATAGCATTCATAAACAAGTCTCTACCACTCTAGGCCTCAGTTTCCTCATCTGAAAGACAAAAAGCTTAAGCCTGGGCTTCCAGGGAAATTGCAAGGATGGAATACGAATTGGGCGGGGGGTGGGTAGTTGTTAAAATTATATATTTACTCCCTTTTGTGGCCACGGACATCTGGAAATCATGTGTCACTAGAAGGGTGGGAAAGGCTGAGCGGACTGTGCCAGGCCCATCCACTGGACGACACGAAAGGGCTCTGGGGCAGGGCCCGGCTGCAGCTGCCAGCACCTCTGCCTCTTGGGGCATGTGATCCTCTAGACCTATGGACGGGGAGGTGTCAGTGATGGGAGAAGCTGCCGTGTGAGGTTTCCTGCCAGTCCCAATGGAGAATCACAGTGCAGGCCCTTGGGTACTGGAGTGAAGCCGTGGCCTCTGCAGTGGAGAACTAAATGCCTCTTGAACAACTGGCATGCTTCTGGGCCCTACGATAGACTGATCACCTGAGCATGGGACACCAAGTGACCATGAAGCTGAAACTGCCCATTGTGAACTGAGTCATATCAGAACCACCAAATCAGAGTGCAGCAGGCCCAGCTGCAGGCCATAGTGAGACAGAAGAGGCACGCCTGGAACTGGGCATGAACAGGACTGGAGGGTACAAGCAAGCAGGATCCCTGGGCAGTAGCTCCCTTAGCTCATGCCCATGGCCATGTGGGGCATCGGAAACATACAGCTGAAGGAGGAGGAAAGAGCCCAAGCTGCTTTATGAATAGGTTCACTGGGTAGGTGATGTACCCTCAAAATGGATGGCGGCTGCATTGCAGCCTCTAACTAACAATATAGTTTAGTGCATACAGAAAGGTGCTTTTCATTCATTCATTCATTCTCTTGTTTATACATTACTTTCTTTCCTTCATTCCCTCTCTCATAAAGCACATGCAGTTTGGATGTGATGCCTCCTATCTCCCCGGGTGGAACCTGACACTTTTATTCAAGTCTTCTTTCTAGCCAGCCTTCCAGCGGCATTTAAAATGCTTATATGGGGCTGGGCATGGTGGCTCATGCCTGTAATCCCAGCACTTTGGGAAGTCGGAGCAAGATGACTGCTTGAGGCTGGGAGTCCAACACCAGCCTGGGCAACATGGCGAGACCCTGCCTCTACAAAAATTTTAAAAATTAGCTGGGTGTGGTGACGTGCAACTGTGGTCCCAGCTACTCGGGATGCTGGGACCACAGCCTCCTGGCAGGAGGGTCACTTGAGCCCGGGAGTTTGAGGCTGCAGTGAGCTATAATCACACCACTGCACTCCAGTCTGGGTGGCAGAGTGAGACCCTGTTTCAAAAGCAAATTCTTATGTGTCATTCATTTTATAAGAAAACAAAACTCTATTCCACTTCATCCTCTATCTATTGCCCATCTCTCTTCTCTTTGTAGCCAAACTGAAGAGCACTGACATTCCTCCCCAGAACTCCTCAATGGATCTCCTCCAATCAGGCCTCCACCCCGTCCTCCCTCTAAATGGTCCCTGCCTCCCCTCTCGGTCATGCCTCCATTCTCTCTATCCTCACTGCAGCCAGCCTACTGCAGGCCAGCCCTACTCCTGCATAGATATTTGCTACGGCCTCCTAGATTATCTTCCTGAGACAATTTTTGTTTCTTGGGTCCATCCCCACGAGACAACCAGGGTGATTTCTTGGGAGCATAAATCTCAGTATTTCACAGGCTGTATTAGTCTCCTAGGGCTGCCATAACAAAGTATCTGAGACTGGGTGGCTTAAACAACAGAAATTTATTTTCTTACAACCTGGAGGCTAGAAGTCCATGATCAAGGTGCCAGCAGGTTGGTTTATACTATGGCTTTTCTTTTTGGCTTGCAGAAGGCCATTTTCTCCCTGTGTCCTCACACAGCCTTGCCTCTGTGCCGCAGCTGTCTTGGTTTCTATTCCTCTTGTTATGAGAACACCAGTCCTATTGAGTTAGGGCCCCACCCTATGACCTCATTTAACTTTAATTATCTCCTTAAAGGCTCTGTCTCCAAATACAGTCACACTAGGAGACAGAGCTTCAACATATAAACTTGGGGGCACACAGTTCAGTCCATAACACATACCTACACATTTCTGTTACTCTCAGGATAGAACAAAACCCTTTATTTACATGGTCTATAAAGCCCTGCACGACCTGGAGCCTTGCCTGTTTTCCAATCTCATCCGGTCAATTCTCGCCTTTCTTCTGTTTAATTCTCAGTTCCTCAGACATGCAGGCTTCTTGCCTCTCTAGGACCCTACTACATAATGTTTCTCTTGCCTGAAGTATTCCCGTTTACCACCCTCCCCACTCCCTCAGCTTGCATAATGCCTATTTGTTTTTGAAAATCTAGCTCACATATCTTCCTTGGGAAGTTTCCCATGGCACAAGGTCAGAGCGCCCACTTACATTTCCTCTGCACACCTGTTTTGTTCACTGTTGTGTGCCAGGCACCGAGCACAATGCACTGTATACACGAAGTGCTTAAAAAATAAGTATCAAAGAATTCACAAAGGTTGAAGGTAGTTGCCTTGTTGGACTTCTGATAAAGAGGAGGACCAGCAGTCCTGTGAACCACCTTCTAGCCAGGAAAGCCAGGCTGATGAGTTATATCATCCTGATTTATTTAGGAAATTGCATAGAAGACTCTAGCTAAAATCTCAAGGGTGAATGTTAAAGTTCCATCTCTGCCCAAATTGCTCAACCATGGGAGACTGTTTTCAAAGACGGCAGAAGCAATTCATCCCATGCTTCTTTGCAATGTGTCTTTCCTGCTCCTTCCGACAAGAGGGGACATCCACTTGTCTTCTCCTTAAATCTGGACTGGTCTTGTGACTTGCTTGGGCCAACAGAATTCGGTGGAAGTGATGCTATTTAATATGTGAGTTTTAGGTCCCACCTTCATCTGCTTCCGCTTGATTGGAATACTGCCCTGAGACCACCATGTAAGGCAGCTGGGTTTACTTCTTGGAGGGTGAGAGGCCACGGGCAGTGGCATCACAGTGACCTAGCCAACAGCCAGCACCAACTTCTAGACATGGGAGTGAGACCTTATGGGGCCTTCCTGCTCAGCCAACCTCCAGCTGAAACTAACCACACAAGAGTGCCCAGGACAGACCAACAGAGGAACCCACAGAATTAAGAGAATAAGAAATCTTTCCTGGGTGGTTGATTACCCCAAAAAGGCTAATGGCCATTAGTCCTCCTGATTTCCCCATGATAAACCCATTTCCCCTCCTCTAAACAGTCACACCCTCTCCCCCGCTCTCTCACTATCACTCAGTGTGACTCATCAGAACCCTCCAAATTGTCACTGTTTCCAACTGTAGATCCAAAAGGAACACAGATGAGATAGATGATTCACAGCAGAGTCTACAGGTGTGACTCTGCAGGGTCTGGATATAAGAGCACTGTCACGGACCACATTCTTGCTGAAACATGACCACATTCACTCACTTAGGACATGGGGCTCCTGAAGTGGAAGCTGGAGGCAGTCACTGTGCTCATCTCATACCCCCTTGGCTACAATTTCTAAATTTGAAATGCAATCCAGAATTCTTGTCATATGAAAAGTTCCTTCCTATGACACATGTACATATCCTAGAATCTCTTCCACATGCTAACACACCTATCCAATTGCAATATTGGTCATTCTGCACTGTGCGTATCAGAAAAAACTTGCAAATAGCCCAAATGTCCAACCACGGGAGGATGGATAAGTGTTACAAAATGGAATACTATCCAGGCAAAATAAATAAGCAAGAGCTACATGTATTTGCATTGCTAATTTCATTGTAACATACCATTGAGTAGAAACAGCAAGTTGTAGAAGTTATATATAGTACTATTCACATAAAAGTTAAAAACATGCGAAACCCAACCAGATATTCTTTCTGATATAGTCATATGTGGTAAAGGTATAAATATATGCACGGGGATATTAAATAACATGTTTAATAGGATTGGGGAGAGGTACACAGGAGTTTCACATGTACCTAAGTGATTTGAAATAAATGTGAGAAATTCAAAGATTGGCAAAGCTGGGTGGCTGATATTGTTATCTACATTTTTCTTATACTTGAGTCATTATAGGATAAAAAGTATAGAAGTTTCCGTTTCCCTCTTTTTACTAGCCAGGCACATTTTCCACAGGCCAATCTCTTCAACATTGCCTAGCGGAAGCCCTTCTGACCCTTGGTGGCAAAAGAGGTCCATGGTGAGCTTAGTTTTATTTACTGACAAGAGAGCTTTTAAGTCAGGGAGGGTTTCAGAGGGCAGCAGAGAGCGTTGCCTCCAGGAAGGGCTATTTTCCCCGTATGGGCTCAGTAAATGATCTCTAACGGAGTGCATGGTTTTGGCAAGACCTCCTATACCAACTCTCCTCTAAATGCCTACCATCTTCTGATCAGCCATCCCAGCTGCTGGCTTTAAGGTACAAGGGCAAACCTTGATGAAGACCTCAGGAAATGTCCACTCATACAGACAGCACCTGTGAGAGGCCCATACAGAGGCTGTTTCAGGAAGGGAGTGGGTGGTTCATTGAGAAGGAAAAGGAAGATGAGGGGACAATTTGGGAAACATACTTCAAGGAAGGGAGTGCACAAAATGGCATTCACTGTCCAAGAGCTCTACAGTCACTTGTGTGTGTGAACTGGCAATTTGAAGACCCTCCACCCAGGCTGGGTGCGGTCGCTCACACCTGTAATCCCAGCACTTTGGGAGGCCAAAGAGGGAGGATCACTTGAGCCCAGGAGTTTGAGACCAGCCTGGGCAACAAGCAAGATCACATCTGTTCAAAAAATCCAAAAAGTATCTAGGTGTGTTGGCGCATACCTGTAGTCCCAGCTACTTCAGAGGCTGAGGTGGGAGGATTGCTTGAGCCCAGAAGTCGAGGCTGCAGTGAACTGTGATGGCACCACTGCACTGCAGCCTGGGCAACACGGTGAGATCCTGTCTCACAAACAAGAAGAAGAAAAAGAGAACGAGGAGGAGGAAGAAGACCTGCTGCTTGGAGGAGTCTGAAAATAGCCATGGGAATAGTAACAAGAGGTTTAATGCTCATCTGAACCAACCACTTGGCACATGGTTGCTGTCCACTGGCACAGATTGCTTATGGGAAGCTGGTTTCAACATTTACTGGCTGCACAAGCCTAGGCAATTTATTTCAACTCTCTAACCTTTGCTTCCTTATCTGTAAATTGTGGGGCTAAGAGTATAACACAAATAAGGTCGGATCGCTTTGGGTTCAAGCTCAGTTCCACGTTGCATTCAGAAGGCACATCATTCCAGCTCAAAAAATATTTGGAAAAGAAATGTAAATATATACAAAAAAAAAAAAAAACCTCTCCCAAGGAGATGGCAAAGGGGAGCTACAGAGCAGAACACAAAATTCCCTGAACATTCTCCTTGCCCAGCCCATTCCAGAGCTTGGTTGTCAAGGCAGCCTCTCCCCCAAATCTTCCTCCTCTCTTTTCTGCATCTCTGTGCTGGGCTGGCTCCCTCCTCTCCCTCCACTTCTCTCTTGACTCCTTCCTGGCCTTCTGGACCAGGTGCTTGCTTCTGGGACAAGCTCCAGGCCCTTTAAAAAAAATGTGCATCAATTTAGACTTTAGTCCCCTTTCAAGTCTCCTCTCCACTAAGGGCAACAAGAAAGGGCGAGGGTCGGCAGGCCAACTTGGAATCCACCCGGAAGAGGCACAAGGGGGAGGCGGCTGCTGAAAAAGGCGCTCATTATGAACACATTCTGTCACTAGTGACAGAAGTCAGATGAAGTTATGTTATGAAGTTAGATGAGATACTGCGTGCATCGAGACCTTAATAGGAGCTAACACATGAAGTCCCCAAATTGTTACTCATTATTCCTATTAGAATCATCATCATTAGTACTACTAGTAGTATTTAAATATTATTTATTTATTTTATAGTATAATTTATTATAATTCCAAGAGCATCAGCCAAAAGTTAAACAGGAGGCTGCAGTCTGCCTTCATGGTACCCAGTGCTTGATTTAACCACCACAGCCACATCATCACCAGTGCAGCAGGACACGCAGAGGGTGGTGTTTCTTAAACTTTAATGTTCAGATGAATCACCTGGAGATCTTGTTAAAACCCAGATTCTGATCTTGTAGGGCCTGGACTGGGCTGGGGCCTGGATTCTGCTTTTCTACAAAGCTTCCAAGAAATGCCAGTGTTGCTGGTCCAGGACCATCACTTTGAATAATGAAAGCCTAATGTTCCACCAAATCCCTTCAGCTATGAAGCTCTAGGTGTACCCCTGAGGTCCCAGAGAGGACAAACCCTATGTGGACTGTGATGGGAGGGAGGAGGGGGACAAGGGCCTGGCCTGTGGGGGCTTCAGGTCTCCAGGTGGTTGACTGACCTCCACCATGGATACAGATGCAGCCCTCCCCGTGCCTCCTGTCTGTCAGCCATGGCAGGTGCCCGTCTCATCTCTCACCTGATAACCCAGGAGAGGAGAGTGAAATTCGAGATAGCCCAACACTCACACTCACACAAATACATGTACCACACACACAACACACCACACACACAAAAGATACACACAACACACACACAGCACAGACAACACACATAACACACATACAACTTTCTCTGAGGCTCCCAGGCTCCCACTGAATGGGAGAGGAGGTGACTGCTCGGGAGGTGGGGACATTTCTACCAAGAGTCCTGCTGTTTTCTCAAATCTATCTTCACCTCTCCACCTTTGCTCTGCCTGATAGCCAGAGAGGCCACTCTTTTTTTTGTTTGTTTTTGAGACAGGGTCTCACTTTGTCACCCAGGCTAGAATGCAGTGGCTCGTTCATGGCTCACTGCAGCCTCGACCTCCCAGGCTCAAGTGATCCTCCCACTTCAGCCGCCTGAGTAGCTGAGACTACAAGCACATGCCTGGCTAATTAAAATTTTTTATTTTTTGGTAGAAGCAGGGTCTCCCTATGTTGCCCAGGCTGGTGTCGAACTCCTGGGTTCAAGTAAACCTCCCATCTTGGTCTCCCAAAGTGCTGGGATTACAGATGTGAGGCATCATGCCTGGCCTAGGCCTCCTAATCTGAAGCCTGCTTCCCTCCTTCGTCCCTCTGTGAGCCATCCCCAACACAGCTGCCACCTCATGGAACAAAACATGTCACCTCCTTCTTAAAACCTTCAGTGGAGGAACATATTTACATAAAAAAACTCACTGACTCCCTTTTCCCTCAATTTAAATTGTTTACCTTCTCTACAGAAAAGAGTAAACATGGTAGGCCTCACTGCCTGTTCTTAGGAAGCCCTGCTTCATAAGAAGCACGTTGGTTCTTGCCTGGAGTTTGGAACAGTTCTCACCAGGAACCGACAAGAGTGGCTCGCTGTGCCTAAATTGTTTGTCTAAACAATATGGTTTATGCTGAACACCTGCCTTCCTTCTGAAAGTCTGGAATTTGGGTACATGCCAGGCAGAAGGTACCTATTTGACCACCCCTGAATTAGTCAGGGTTCTCCACACCAGAGAGAGAGAGAAAGAGAGAGAGAGAGAGGTTTTTAAAAAAAAATTTTTTTTTTGAGACAGAGTTTTGCTCTGTCACCAGGCTGGAGTACAGTGGCACAGTCTTGGCTCACTGCAACCTCCGACTCCCTGGTTCAAGCGATTCTCCTGCCTCAGCCCCCCTAGTAGCTGGGATTACAGGCACGCACCACAATGTCCAGCTAATTTTTGTATTTTTAGTAGAGACAGTGTTTCACCATGTTGGCCAGGATGGTCTCGATCTCCTCACCTTGTGATCCACCCGCCTCGACCTCCCAAGGTGCTGGGATTACAGGCGTGAGCCACCGTGACTGGCCGAGAGAGGTTTATTTTAAGGAATTGGTTCATGATTGTGGGAGCTGGCAAGTTCAGAACCCGTAGGGCAGATTGGCAAGCTGGAAATTCCGAGCTGTTGTTGCAGCCTTGAGCCCAAATTCTGCAGCTGGAAGCTCAGGCAGGGTGTCTATGTAGCAGTTTTGGGAAGAATACCCCCTTCTTATTAGGGAAACCTGAGTCTTTACTCTCAAGACCTTCAACTAATTAGAAGAAGCCCACCCTCATTATAGAGCATAATCTTCTTTACTCAAAGTATTTGAGTAATTTAAATGTTAATCAAATCTAAAAAACACTTTCATAGCAATATCTAGTCTGGTGTTTGATTAAATAACTGGGTACCATAGCCTAACAAAGTTGACATAAAAATTAACCAGCAGTGCCGGGCACAGTGGCTCACACCTGTAGTCCCATCACTTTGGGAGGCTGAGGTGGGTGGATCACCTGAGGTCAGGAGTTCGAGACCAGCCTGGCCAACATGGTGAAACCCCGTCTCTACTGAAAATACAAAAAATTAGCCGGCTGTGATGGCGGGTGCCTGTAATCCCAGCTACTTGGGAGGCAGAGGCAGGAGAATTGCTTGAACCTGGGAGGCAGAGGTTGCAGTGTCCCGAGATCGCGCCATTGCACTTCAGCCTAGGGAACACAGCGAGACACTGTCTCAAAAAAAAAAAAAAAAAAAAAAAATTAATCAGCACAGCCACCCAAGAAAAATCCTAGGCATCGATTCCTGTTGGTTGGCAATGTTCTACATGGGTTGTCACAACTCATTGCTGGGGTAATTAGCATGTCCTGTGTGATGCCACTGGGAAAGAACTCAGGATTCTCGAGAAGAACAATTTCGCTTGCACTTGACTTTCCCCAGACTTCATCTGTGTGCCTTTCCCTTTGCTGCTTTTGCTTTGATCCTTTTGTTGTAATAAATCATAGCTGTGAGTACACCTACATGCTGAGTTCTATGCATCCTTTTAGCAAATCTGCAAAATGAGGGGTGGTCTTGCAGACTCCAGATTTACCTTCAGGTGAGCCTCCCCATTTCCAGTAACTGCCACCTTATACCCCACATTCCCACCGTACTGAGCTGCCTAGTACCTGGATACGCATACCTCCATATCTAGAATGCCCTCTCTTCTCTTGGATGGCTAACTTCCATGCAGCCGTCAGGAACTCAGCTTGCTTTGGTTATCCATTGCTGTGGAACAAGCGATCCCAAAACATAGTGGTTAAGACAGCAACAGTTCATTATTTCTTATGATTCTGTAGGTTGATTCAGGCAGTTCTTCTTCCCATGGGGTTGGCTGCGGTTTTAGGGTGGAGGGTTCAAATGGCCCCAGAGTTGGTGGTAGTTGGTGCTGGCCACCTGCTGATAGCTTAGCTGAGGCTATGAGTCAGGGGCCCAATTCTCCTCAATATGGGTTTCTTCACATGGCTAATTGAGTCTCCTGAAACCATGGTGGGTATTCTCCAGGAAGAAGCATTTCAAAAGAGCAAGCCCCAATGTGCAAGTACTTATCAAGCTTCAGCTTGCATATCCATGCAATGAATGCTGATGTTCCATTGGCTAAGCTAGTTACATGGCCAAGCTGAAGATCATCACGGGAAAGAACTATGCCAGGAGATGAACACTGGGGGGTGCAGCTCATAGAGGGCCACGAATGTGCAATGTACCACATAGTACAAGCCTTCACTGACCTCCTTAAGCCCCTTCCCAGTGCGTACTCATTACAATACTTGCCACACTCAGTTGAAATAGTTTAATTGTTGAGTATTGTGCTTCTATTTATGGACTGGAGCTCCATATTTATGGACTGGAGCTCTTCTGAGAGCAGGGTCTGTACCTAATTTATTCCAGTATCCCATTCCTGACCCAGACTGTGTTTGCAGAATGAGTGCTTGAATCAGAGCAGCAACTATCATCACCCACCTCGTATTTGCCAGGTTCAAGCCCTGTCTCTACCTTATTTAGGCTTAGGACATTCAATAGCTGTGAGATGCCAACTATACACAGTCCCTAAGCTCCTTAAAGCATGGCAGCCTGTCCCATGCTTTACAGAAGCATAGCCTGTCCCTGCTATAGAGAAGGCACCTACCAGGCATTAGTGGAATGAATAAATGAATGAGCGAACTTTCTAGGCATGTCGTTGAGATTTCCAAGCTATAAGACCATTCGATCCAGCAATCTCGCCACTGGGTATCTACCCAAAGGCAAGTTACCTGCACTCTTAAGTTTATCACAGCATTGTTCACAATAGCAAAGATGTGGAATCAACCTAAGTGTCATCAGTGGATGGTGGGATAAAGAAAAGGTGGTGTACATACACAATGGAATACAACTCACCCATTAAAATGAAAAAAAAAATAAAACATGTATTTTGAAGCAACATACATAGAACTAGAGGCCATTATTTTAAGTGAAACAACTCAAAAAGCCAAGTACTGCATGTTGCCACTTATAAATGGGAGGTAAATAATGTGTACATATAGACATAGACTGTGGAATAATAGACATTGGAGACTTGGAAGGGTGGGAGCGGGTGAGGGATAAAAAATTGCTTGATGGGCACAATGTACATTATTCAGGTGATGGTTACACCAAAAGCCCAGACCTCCCCACTACACACACAATATATCCATGTAACAAAACTGCATCTGTACCCCTTAAAGTTATACAAATTTTAAAAATGCATCAACTGCTTTCTTAAACATACACTGTGATGAAGCTGAGCAGAAATCACATGACCCCACAGTCCACAAATAAAGCAGGTCTATCAAAGAGCTGTCAACGAAAGAGATTTTCTGTCCTCTCCTTTCCAGTTGAGGACCCTGAGGAAGGAGAGTTGCCCTTGCTGTGCCACGTTGTGCTGAGCAGCCCGGCTGGAGCAGAAGCACAGGGTCCTCCCACCAATGCGTCCTCTGCTCCCCTATTTCCTGGTCTTGGGCAGTGGCTCCTAATATAGGTTCTGTCTCATGCTATAAACAGCTACAGACACATCTTCAGTAGTAACGCACTGGAGTGTGGAAATCAATTGTGAATTAAACTCCTCCCTATTGCAATATTCTGACATCATAAGAGAACACAAGTGAATCATCCCTGTGTAAATATACTTTGATTAGATCATTTGCTTTCAAGGCTAAAAAAAGGGAGGAGAAAAAACTGGATGTTCTGTTCCCCTCTGGATAGGCATTGGGGGTAAGATTTTCCGCCCCTCTGTGTGGTAACCCCCCTCAGCTGGAATAACAACTTCTTACTTAAGACCACATTCCTCTAGGTTCCATTCTTTGAAATATTTCATTCTTTGGACCTCAGTTTAAGCAACTAAAATAAAAGATGGTCTTGAATAATAAAACTAAACAAAAGAATGTGTTTGCTTTATTAAAGGGATTTTTTTCACTTTATGAAAGGACTGACAGTATTATTTTCAGCAGGTGAGATCCCCCTTGATCTGTTCAAAATGAAAATGAAATTCATCTAGTTCAGGAGCTATGGACTGGTTCTGTTGGCCAAATCTAGCCTGCGCTGCCCATGCATTTTCTCTCTTTTTCTTTCTCTCTCTCTTTCTTCTTATATCTTGTTTAAAGAAATAGAGACAGGGTCTGGCTATGTTGCCCAGAATCGATCCCGAACTCTTGGGCTCAAGTGATCCTCTCACCTCGGTCTCTCAAAGTGCTGGGATTACAGTAATGAGTCACAGTGCCTGGCCGCCTGTGTATTGTTTGAACAACACAGTAGTTGATTTTTAAATTCTGAGCTTCTATAGCTGCATTATGACATGTTCTCCAGTTCTTCACAAATGCTGCCACTACTTGATGTCTCACACACAGTTGTTACCTGCAGGACCCCTGAGTTTTACCTCTCATTTTACAAATGGGGAAACTGAGACCTAGAAAGGACGGTTTGCTCAAGGTCGTGAAGCTAGGACATGCCAGGGCTAAAAAGCAAGTCTCCAGCTCCCTGGCACAAGACTCCCTCCCTTCTGCTCACTGCATCTCCACACCACTTTCTTGTAGCTTTCGTTAAATTAATAAAAGTGCAATTTCAGCATACGCCACTAAACTGGCAAGCATTTGCAGGGGTGGATTTTGTAGCGACAGCACTTACCCAATGGGAAGTTGTTGCAACCTTCCTCTTTCCTTTCTGTCCTCCCAATTCTCAGGGTTGGAGGAACCTCACACTTTGCTGTCATCAGGCAAACCTCATGCATGGGCAAGGAGCATCATTTTTCTACTTCTACCCATCACAGCTTCTCCTTTCTATCAAACCACACAAGCAGAATCTTTCTCCATATAAAATCCACACAGTAAATGTTTCAGATGGTACAAATGGGCTTGTCTTTCATTTTGAATTTTTTTTTTTTTTTTTTGAGACAAGACCTCACTCTGTAGCTCAGGCTGGAGTGTGGTGGCGTGATCATGACTCGTTGCAGCCTCAACCTCCTGGGCTCAAGTGATCCTCCCACCTTAGCCTCTCAAGTAGCTGGGACCACAGGTGCATGCCACCATGCCCAGCTAATTTATTTATTTATTTATTTATTTATTTATTTATACAGATGAAGTCTGCCTATGTTGCCCAGGCTGGTCTCAAACTCCTGGGCTCAAGCAGTCCTCCCACCTTTGCCTCCCAAAGCGCTGGAATTACAGGCATGAGCCACTGCACCCAGCAAAGCTTTTCTTTCTGGAAAAATCCTACTTGTTATTCAAGGCACTGTTCAAATGTTGCGTCCAGTGGGAAGCCAACTCCACTATTCATTTACATATTTTTAACATCATGTAGCATAGCGTGGGGTGTGCGGTGTGTGGGCCTACTTGCCTCCTCACCTTTCCCTCCTTCAGCTCCCCTTGTCTACTCTGTCCCCTCCATCTTTGTTTACTGACTTGAATTGAGAGGATTGAGGCTCATAGAAGACTTCCTGAAAACAATCCACACCCACCACTTTTCTACCAAAATTGAACAAGGACTAGATTTTGATTCTCTTTTTTGGAAAGGAAAATAGGTCACCATGCAAAAAGGCCCAAGCAGCTTCTCCTGTTCAAGAAAATGCTGTCTGGTGTTGGGGATGAGTTGGAGAGCTTTGGGGAGGGAGTTGCTATAGGGGAGGAGCTGAAAAGGACAGAGGTGGCAGGTATAGAAAGCAATCAGTCAATGCAAGAGGGCAGTCTCCAAATTGCTCCAAACCTCAGTGTTCATCTGTATCTGAACCTCTCTGAAACCCAGTGATGAGCTTAGGACAAATGAAAAGAAGTCTTACCAGCAGAAAGATGAACGAATTTTAGGGGACTCATGTCAGCACTGACTCTCCCTTGGGAGGATGGTGGCTGAAGGAGGAGCCAGGGAGCCATCTGAACTTGTAGACATTTTAGCCCAGTGCTGTCCAATAGAAATACAATGTGACTCAAATGCGTAATTTTAAGTTTTCTAGTTGACACATTAAAAAGCTAAAAAGATGGCTGAGTGTGGTGGCTCATACCTGTAATCCCAGTGCTGTGGGAGGCAGAGGTGGGCAGATCACCTAGGGTCAGGAGTTCGAGATCAGCCTGGCCACCACGGCAAAACCTTGTCTCTATTAAAAATACAAAAATTAGCCAGGCGTGGTGACACATGCCTGTAATCCCAGCTACTCGGGAGGCTGAGGCATGAGAATCACTTGAACCTGAGAGGCGGAAGCTGCAGTGAGTTGAGATTACACCATTGCTCTCCAGCCTGGGTGGCAGAATGAGACTCTGTCTCAAGAAAAAAAAATAAAATCTAAAAAGATGAAATTAATTTGAATAATATGTTCAACATATTAAATCTCATACATTTAAAAAAATCCACTATATCCAAAGTATTACCACCTCAACATGTTATTAATATAAACATAAAAATAAACTATTGTACATGTTTTTCAATCTAAGTCTTTAAATTCTAGTGTTTAGCTTATAGTTAGAGCACATCTCAATGTGGACACTAAATTTTTATCAAAAAGAATCTGCATTTAGATTTCATAAAATTTTCAGTTGAAAAAGCAGATTTACATACCCAAGTTGTTTCAAACATACCTAAAAGTTTCCATCAAATTGAATCAAATAACAGTTTTTAAATGTAATTAAAATGAAATGATATTAAAAGCCTAGTTCTTCAGTGGCATTAGTGACATTTCAAGTACTTAATAGCCACATGTGGTTACTGGCTACTGTATTGACTGTAGTTTTAGAGCGATCAGGAGCGGTCCTACTGCCCATTGCCTGTTCCCCTCGGCCTTGCTCTGGGCTGGACAAGTGGGGGGTTTGATCAGAGTTCAATGCCCATGTGCTTAAGTTTAATAGTCTAGCTATGGTGGTTCTCTTTTGAGCACAGCCTTCTCCTTCTTAGCTCTGGGACACACTGAGGGGAAGAGAAGGATATTTTATCTGCTGTTGCTCCTAGCTGGAGACCCCACCCAGAAAACAGCTTGAGTGGCCCGCAGCCACATTAACTCCTGAGTGAATGGACTCCAAATGGGCCAGACAGGACTGCCTCAGTTCTTCCACGTGAAATAATATAGCTAGTGCAACTTTTCCTTTTTTTTTTTTTTTTTTTTTTTTTATTGATACGGAGTCTTGCTGTCTCCCCCAGGCTGGAGTGCAGTGGTACGATCTCGGCTCACTTGCAAGCTCCGCCTCCAGGGTTCATGCCATTCTCCTGCCTCAGCCTCTCGAGTAGCTGGGACTACAGACGTCCGCCACCACGCCCGGCTAATTTTTTGTATTTTCAGTAGAGACGGGGTTTCACCGTGTTAGCCAGGATGGTCTCGATCTCCTGACCTCAAGATCTGCCCGCCTCGGCCTCCCAAAGTGCTGGGATTACAGGCATGAGCCACCGCTCCCGGCCAACTTTTCCATTTTTAAAGCTCATTGCATAGAGATGGAAGATTGACAATTTTCCTAGAGACATTAAACTACTCCTAAATTAGGAAATATTTTTTTTTTTTTTTTTTTTTTTTTGAGACGGAGTCTCGCTCTGTCGCCCAGGCTGGAGTGCAGTGGCGCGATCTCGGCTCACTGCAAGCTCCGCCTCCCGGGTTCACGCCATTCTCCTGCCTCAGCCTCCCGAGTAGCTGGGACTACAGGCGCCCGCTACCACGCCCGGCTAATTTTTTGTATTTTTAGTAGAGACGGGGTTTCACCGTGTTAGCCAGGATGGTCTCGATCTCCTGACCTCGTGATCCGCCCGCCTCGGCCTCCCAAAGTGCTGGGATTACAGGCGTGAGCCACCGCGCCCGGCGGAAATATTTTTAAATTAAATGCCTGTCAGGAATGTCTATTGCATTGCTGGTTCCTAGTACATGAATTATTATTACTTCTAACTATACCAGAGTATCCAGCAATGGCTTTCTTAACTGGGGCAAAAACGGAATGATTTTTGTGGCTAAAGTTGTTTTAAATTTCTGTACATTATAATAAACGAAAAGTGAAGTCCATTAGTCTGTAAGTTAGTGAAGATCCATAGACTTTATCTTTCTCTTCTAATTTCTTTTAGAAGTTACTATTTAGGAAGGAATTTTTTTTTCCACTGAATGGCATTTTCGTTAATATTTTTGTAAAGTGTATATGAAAAAGTTATGTGTGTATAAATACATATGAAGAATTTCTAAGAATCTACTTGTAAAACATTATTCAGAGTTTTATATGCTCTGAAATATTTTAAAATAAAAATATCCATAAAATGCATACTTTTTGACCAAAGGTTTTCTTTTCTTTTCTTTCTTTTTTTTTTTTTAAGAAAAAGACCCCATAAAGATTGCCGCAAGGTGGCACTAAAATCTAATGAAAATTCCAACTCTGCTCTGGTCTTTGAGGAGTGTAGAATGATTTACAGGAGACACCTGGCAAACAAACAAAACCAAATAAATTAGGTTAAAGATTAGAGATAGATTAATATCCTCCTTTTGTCTGAAATACAACTTCCCTGTCTCACAGGTGTGGATATATTATGTCATAAGATGAATATGTTAATAAAGTTAATTGTTAACATGACTTGTTCTTGGCTGGTGGCGGTGGCTCACGCCTGTAATCCCAGCACTTGGGGAGGTCTAAGTGGGTGGATCACTTGAAGTCAGGAATTTGAGACCAGCCTGGCCAACAAGGGAAAACCCTGTGTACTGAAAATACAAAAATTAGCCAGGCATGGTGTCACACGCCTGTAATCCCAGCTACTCGGGGGTCTGAGGCAGGAGAACTGCTTGAACCCAGGAGGCCGAGGTTACAGTGAGCCAAGATCATACCACTGCACTCCAGCCTGGGTGACAGAGTAGGACTCTGTCTCAAAAAATAAAATAAAATAAAATGACTTGTTCTCATAGAAGAATCAAATTTTATCCCTGTCTGAGGAAGTGTATTATGAAGGGCAAGGGACAGGGAGGGGCTTGTCCGGCATATCACCTAGTTGGGAAAAGTTTATCCTGTGTGTGGGGCAGTCTTGGAAGCAGCCAGTCTCTGCAGAGCTTGTCAAAGTATCCTGGACTAAAAAAAAAAAAATACCATGAAAAGAAGTTACTAAAGAAGTTACTGCAGAACACAGATCTATTTGTTTACTTTGGCATTTTTACCAACTGCATAGTTTTAGAAATTATTGCAATATTGAGATTTGAGCTTGGAACACCTCATATAATATTCCTGGAAATCAGAACACGAAGGAGTTCAATCCGTTTTCCGGATTCTTTGTTTTTTAAAGAAAAAAACACATGGTACAAAGCTTTGTTTCATATTTCTTGGTATTTGAAGTTTAAGGACATAGCCAAGTTTCCCAAGCTATATTAAGACCAAGGAAAGCGGCGTTAACAATACAGCTATAAAAGGTTTTGACTAAAAGAAGAAAAATTTGTGTAAATAAGACTTTTCTAATAGGAAAAAAAAAAAGCTTCCAGATTGCATCCTTAAATCAATGAACAGAAAAACTATTTACTTGCTGACAGATCAGTTCCTTAGATCTGAAAAACAAACCCCCGCCCCCCACCGCCCCGGCCAACAACAACAAAAAAAAGCTGGTTGGCCGGTTGTTGTAGTGATGTGAATCCAGTCTGAGGGAAGCACAGCACTTCCAGTCGTCTAAATAAGACGTTCCCTCTAGGAAGGGCTCTAGGCTTAGCAGCACTACTGCCTTATTTGATCTGATTTCATCTGTGGAGCCATATGGGGACCTAGCTCTTAACATATGAATTACATGTGAAAACACCGGGGTTCAGTCACAGTTGGCTGCATGGGTTTGCTTAATGATTTTCTTTTTAATGTTTACTTTTTTTTTTTCTTTTGAGCCAGGGTCTCATTCTGTCACCCAGGCTGGAGTGGGGTGTTGTGATCATAGCTCACTGCAGCCTTGCCCTCCTGGGCTCAAGCAATCCTCCCACCTCAGCCTCCTGAGTAGTTGAGATTATAGGTGCAGGCCACTCTCCTCCCCACGCCATCCCATTTTATTTTTCTCAGGGACAGGGACGGGGTTTTGTCATGTTACCCAGGCTGGTCTTGAACTCCTGAGCTCAAACAATTCTCCAGCCTGGGCCTCCCACGCCCAGGGATCACAGGCATGAGGTACTGTGCCCGGCCTGGTTAGATAATTGTTAAAGCGAAGTGTGGAACTGAGGTAAGAAACCCCCAGAAAATTCCACCTGCGTTTCTGAGCATTCGGGTTAATTCCCCACAGTCATTTACTGATCCTTGTAAATGCCAGGCATTGTGCTGGGTCTTCAAGATGCGGAGATAAGACAGAATCCTGGCCCTCCAACAACTGACAGAGACCGAGACAGAGACGGAGACAGGAGGCAACCACCTCCCGGTCATGTGGTGGGTCCCTCCTTTGCTGAAAAAACAGTTTGCAGACATTTCCCATGCAATGGATAGACAGAGCCCAGCCCATGCTGTTAATACTTTAGCACTCATGAGCCCCAGCATATGCAGCTCCTAGAGTTTGCCCCGCTCCTTCCCACCTTCCTGCTTGTGTTCAGGCTGTTTCTCCTGCCCGGGAGCCCTCCCCGACTCCCCTTTCCCCCTATCCCCTTCTTCCTCTTTTATCCGTAGAAATCGGTTGACTTGGGTCTTTCCGGATCACCGGTACTGTCATTTCATGCAGGATCTACAGGATAAATGAGTTCAGTCCTGGCGTGCATCAGGAGGCTACGCCCCAATAGAGGGGACACCCCCTAACCCGCTGTGCCCCATTTGCTAGCCCCTTACTCCTCCCCTCTTCTCCAGCCTCAAGCCTTTTCGTCTGCTCAGGGGTCTTGGGGTGGTTGGATTCTATTGAACCCGGAATATTGTACGTTCTATTGTACAATAGTGTATATTCTATTGTACATTCTATTGTACAATAGTGTATATTCTATTGTACATTCTATTGTACAATAGTGTATATTCTATTGTACATTCTATTGTACAATAGTGTATATTCTATTGTACATTCTATTGTACAATAGTGTATATTCTATTGTACATTCTATTGTACAAGTGTATATTCTATTGTACATTCTATTGTACAATAGTGTATATTCTATTGTACATTCTATTGTACAATAGTGTATATTCTATTGTACATTCTATTGTACAATAGTGTATATTCTATTGTACAATTTATCTCAGACAGTTCTCTGTTTTAAGAACCGGGATCAGAGTTCATAGTGAAAAGAGGGGCCGAAGGGGCTTCTTCCTGTCCGGTAACTTCCTCCAAGTGTTCGAGCCTCGACCTTCCCTTTCCGTTGTCAAGCTTGGGCCACTCCGCACCTCTTCCCTTAATCTTCACCTAGAGACCTAAGCTGGGGGTTGGGAAGGGTAGGGGCGGCGGGACTTGGAAGAGCCAGTTTGCAGCCAGCCGGTCGCCTCTCGGGTCCAAACCCGAGGCTGGCCCACGGCGAGTACCCGGGTGGGGCCCTAAACCACAGGAGGGGCCACCTCCAAAAGAAAAGAGAAAACACTCTTGTTTGGGAACAAAAGTGTGTGTGTGGGGTGTGTGTGTGTGTGTGTGTGTGTGTGTGTCTGTTTATTTAAAAACAAAACCACGTTAAAAGAGCTGCCCCTCCCCCACAGGCCCGACCACCCGCCGGGAGTTTGCCAGGAAGAGGGGCAATTCTGAATGGGAGTCGCCAACGCCCCACTGAGTGAAGCCTGTCTCGGAACCGCTCGCCCAGACCCTGGAGGCTCCAGACAGCCAGCTCCCGGACCCCGCGCGCAAACGCTGCGGCGAAGGAGGGGACCCGGGTACCGCCAGAGCCCCGCAGCGGCAGCAGCAGCGCGGACTCCCCGGTCGCTGCCTCTCCCAGCCCGGCGGCCTGGGCCGTCAATCAAGCTGGCCCTGCCCCGCCCTCGGGCTGCAGGGGGCGGCCAATCAGAGCTAAGCTCCGCAGCGATGAGCTCAGCCGGCTGGTTTCCCATTGGACGGCTATATTAAGAAAGTGGCCGGACTCTTTAAATAGCGGGCGCTAGGGCCGCAGCCCTCATCTGCCACCGCAGTCTGGTTGGAGCTGTTGTCTTGTATGCTCAGCGAGGCCCGGAGAGACCCGGGAGAGAGCTAGGCCGAGTCCACCGCCCGAGTCTGCTGCCCGAGCCCGCGTTACGCACAAAGCCGCCGATCCCCGGCCTGGGGTGAGCAGAGCGACCACCGCCCGGGAGCAGCGCGGCGAGACGCACGGTGCGCCCTATGCCCCCGCGCCCCCACCGCCCCCGCCGCGGCAGCCGAAGCGCAGCGAGAGAACGCGCCACCGCGGGGCCCGGGTGCAGCTAGCGACCCTCTCGCCACCTGCGCGCAGCCCGAGGTGAGCAGTGAGCGGCGAGCGGGAGGGCAGCGAGGCGTTCGCGGGCCCCCTCCTGCTGCCCGGGCCCGGCCCGCTCATGGCGGCCATCCGCAAGAAGCTGGTGGTGGTGGGCGACGGCGCGTGTGGCAAGACGTGCCTGCTGATCGTGTTCAGTAAGGACGAGTTCCCCGAGGTGTACGTGCCCACCGTCTTCGAGAACTATGTGGCCGACATTGAGGTGGACGGCAAGCAGGTGGAGCTGGCGCTGTGGGACACGGCGGGCCAGGAGGACTACGACCGCCTGCGGCCGCTCTCCTACCCGGACACCGACGTCATTCTCATGTGCTTCTCGGTGGACAGCCCGGACTCGCTGGAGAACATCCCCGAGAAGTGGGTCCCCGAGGTGAAGCACTTCTGTCCCAATGTGCCCATCATCCTGGTGGCCAACAAAAAAGACCTGCGCAGCGACGAGCATGTCCGCACAGAGCTGGCCCGCATGAAGCAGGAACCCGTGCGCACGGATGACGGCCGCGCCATGGCCGTGCGCATCCAAGCCTACGACTACCTCGAGTGCTCTGCCAAGACCAAGGAAGGCGTGCGCGAGGTCTTCGAGACGGCCACGCGCGCCGCGCTGCAGAAGCGCTACGGCTCCCAGAACGGCTGCATCAACTGCTGCAAGGTGCTATGAGGGCCGCGCCCGTCGCGCCTGCCCCTGCCGGCACGGCTCCCCCTCCTGGACCAGTCCCCCGCGAGCCCGGAGAAGGGGAGACCCGTGTCCCACAAGGACCCCACCGGCCTGCCTGGCATCTGTCTGCTGACGCCTCTGGCTTGCGCCAGGACTTGGCGTGGGCACCGGGCGCCCCCATCCCAGTGTCTGTGTGCGTCCAGCTGTGTTGCACAGGCCTGGGCTCCCCACTGAGTGCCAAGGGTCCCCTGAGCATGCTTTTCTGAAGAGCCGGGCCTCAGAGTGTGTGGCTGTGTGTCTGTTCGACTCCCCTCGCCCCATTTTCACCCCACCCCCGCCTCTGATCCCCGGGGGCGAGATTGGCGCGGGAGTGTGGCCGCGCCCCATCAGATGTTCGCCCTTCACCAGCGGGAGCTTGATATCCCTTGTCTGTAACATAGACCCCGGGTACTGCGGGAGGGGAGGGCTGCTGGGGAGGATGGGGGGATGTTATATAAATATAGATATAATTTTATTTTCGGAGCTAAGATGGTGTTATTTAAGGGTGGTGATGGGTGAGCGCTCTGGCCCAGGCTGGGCCAGACTCCCGCCCAAGCATGAACAGGACTTGACCATCTTTCCAACCCCTGGGGAAGACATTTGCAACTGACTTGGGGAGGACACAGCTTCAGCACAGCCTCTCCTGCGGGCCAGCCCGCTGCGAACCCTCCACCAGCTACCGGAGGGAGGAGGGAGGATGCGCTGTGGGGTTGTTTTTGCCATAAGCGAACTTTGTGCCTGTCCTAGAAGTGAAAATTGTTCAGTCCAAGAAACTGATGTTATTTGATTTATTTAAAGGCTAAAATTTGTTTTTTTATTCTTTGCACAATTGTTTCATTGTTTGACACTTAATGCACTCGTCATTTGCATACGACAGTAGCATTCTGACCACACTTGTACGCTGTAACCTCATCTACTTCTGATGTTTTTAAAAAATGACTTTTAACAAGGAGAGGGAAAAGAAACCCACTAAATTTTGCTTTGTTTCCTTGAAGAATGTGGCAACACTGTTTTGTGATTTTATTTGTGCAGGTCATGCACACAGTTTTGATAAAGGGCAGTAACAAGTATTGGGGCCTATTTTTTTTTTTTCCACAAGGCATTCTCTAAAGCTATGTGAAATTTTCTCTGCACCTCTGTACAGAGAATACACCTGCCCCTGTATATCCTTTTTTCCCCTCCCCTCCCTCCCAGTGGTACTTCTACTAAATTGTTGTCTTGTTTTTTATTTTTTAAATAAACTGACAAATGACAAAATGGTGAGCTTATGATGTTTACATAAAAGTTCTATAAGCTGTGTATACAGTTTTTTATGTAAAATATTAAAAGACTATGATGATGACATTTATAAAATGGCTCTTGTGGTTTAATAGTGTGTAAAAATACCCTTGTGAATTTGGAACAAGGGAGATATTCTCCTAGGCGAGATCCTTTCTTGCCAACTCCGTTTCCCTTATAGCAAATGTAGTAAATGAGGATGAAGTCCCTTTGAGAGCATGTGGGGGTTGGGTGACCAAGGGAGACCAGGTTGTTCCTGTCACATTCCTAGAGGAAGATGAGTGGATACCCCGACACCCAGTGCAAAAACTTTTGACCTATTATGTACTCAGTTCAATTGGGTGAGACCGAAGATCTTGATTTCATTCATCTGTGTGTCTTAAAAACACTTGTGTCTTTAAGTCTATTATGGGGCTTTGCTTATTCTTTGAGTCTTGGAAAGTTATCATTTGTGCATTTTAAATTTAGAAAACCTTTATTAATCGTTGGTGTGGGGTCACGCTATCAGGAAGCCTGTTTACTGGGTTCCCTTCAGGCCATCAAGGGGTTTACACAATATCCCAGGAAGTTGTAGGTTGTTATCTTTGGGCCTGGAGCTTCCAGAAGTGGGGGAGTTCAGATAAAGAGGTGATTTTTTAAAATTATCAAGCTTTGATCCCAATATGTCCTTTATTAAGTAACCTAGAATGATTTATTCTAAGTTCAGAGAAGGGCCATATTGTGGAAAGAACATTGGATGTTTTGGTGGTTCTTAAAGTTGGAGCTGCCACTTTTTGAGAGTCATGATAAACTCTAATCGTAGACACTTAGCTTTGCTGTAATGGTTCTTAGAACCAGACGGGCTGATTTATAGGTGGAGACCACATTAAAATTCTGCTGCAGGCATGATGGTTCAAACCTGCCAGCTCTCGCAGCTTCCAGGGAAGGTAGCTGAGAGTGTCAACTGCCTGAGAAGTGTGGTTTTCATTTTTTTTGAATCAGCATTTTCTGGGTTTCTAGCACTTAGTTGCCACCTTCTCCTTCCCCCTCCTCCCCATTCCCAGGACAAAGGTGGAGGTCTCCTTTGAAGTTGTTTGCTTCAAAGCTTGAGGCTTCTGTTTCCTGGTCTTACCCCAGACTCCAAGAGCTTTTGTTGAGTGAATAAAACCTGGTTGGTGGTGACCTTTCACCCACTTAAATGCTGGCAGTAACTGGACCTCCTGCTCAGCTGGGTGGGTGCATTGACTAACAGAAGGGGATTGTCTGGGCTCCTCCAGGAGCAGAGGGGAGAGGGGTCTATCCAGGCTGCCTGCTTTGAGCAACTGCCTAACTCCTTCCTCAGTCCCTCGGCCCCACTCACCTCCAGACTGCAGTCTCCTTTTTCATTTTAAAGACAAAACTTCCCATCGACAAACAGCATGTTTATTTGCAGCTTTTACAGCTAGCAAATCCTTTGGTACCAGGGAGCGCAGGACCCAGTGGGGGAAGAGTTCAGGCTTGGGCTGAATGCCCAGGACTCAGCTTTGCAACCAGCCAAGAGCCTGGAGGCCCAACTCCCTGAAAGGGCCTTTTCTGGGTTGCTCTGATCTGCCTGGTACCCATAACTGTCTGTGTTTTATATTATGGGCAGACAAACACTCAGATGACGCATGGCAGCCCAAGTTATGCTTGTTTGAAAATGCGTGGCATTTCATAATCCTGCCGGAACACACTCTTCTTGCTGCATTAGGATCCAACTGGAAAACATAAAGATGAATTGCTGTAGGCTGGAAAATCAATTAGGAAAAAGAGGTAAAACATCTGGTGTTACTCTTAGAATATGAAAATTCATTTTGCACATTTAAAATAAATGTGTTGAGTTGATTTAATTGCCTGTTGAACTGTTTCGTGGAAAATACTGGGAAGTTGCATTGATCCTGGGCATTTTGCAGTAAGGGGCATTGTCTTGAGTTCTCCTTTAATCTTAATCTTTAATCAATCTGGATTGTATTTCTAAGGTCTTTTTCACGTGAGTTTCAGTAGACTTGGAACTTCAGTTTTCAAAGTCAAGTGTGTATTAGAATTACACGGAGGGCTGGTTAAAACACAGATGGCTGGGCCTAACCCCACAGTTTCTGATCCAGTAGGTCTGGGCTAGGGCTTAAGAATTTGAATTTGTAGCAAGGTTCTAAGTGATGACAAGCTGCTGGTTGGGACCACACTTTGAGAACTACTGGCTTCGAATAAGGGAGAGTCCTTGTCAGTGTACAGAGTAGGGAGGTGGTTTCCTATGAAAATAGATTAAATTCCACAGACTTATGGTGCTATGCCCTGCAGTCTTGACTTCCTTACACAACGGAGTACATAGCTTCCAGAGAGCTTTCCTTCTAAGATAAGCCACACATAACTCCTATCTTCTCTTCCCTACATTCTTCTGCAAAAATGGGTTTAATGCCCTTCTAGAGATTCATTTCTTTCTTTCCTTTTTAAGAGACAGGGTCTTGCTCTGTCGCCCAGGCTGGAGTGCAGTGGTGCCATCATAGCTCACTGAAGCCTCAACCTCCTGGGCTCAAGCAATCCTCCCACCTCAGTCTCCTGAGTAGGTGGGACTACAGGTGTGCCCAGCTAACTTTTAAATTTTTTTTTGTAGAGACAAAGTCTTGCTATTTTGCCCAGGATGGTCTCGAACTCCAGGGCTCAAGCAGTCCTGTTATATCCTCCTCCGAAAGTGTTGGGATTACAGGTATGAGCCACCAGGCCCCAACCTATTTCTGCCATTCCTGAATTCAGAATGCAACAGCACTCTAATTTAATCAGCGTTGGCACCTACTTTGTGAACTCTGATGAGGTGGGAATACAAAAGCAATAAAACACAGTCCTCCCCCTCCAGGAGCTCATTCACAGCCTGGTGGCCCCCTGGCAGTTGCAAGAAGGCATCCACCAAGACCACAATTATAGCATGATGTAATGGAGGCATTAGGCAAGGGCACGACAGGAGCCTAGGGCACAGGTACCTATTTTTGCCCGGGAAGATGGGGAAGGTGTCATGGAGGAGGAATCATTTGAGCTAAATCTTAAGCAGGAGTGGGTGATGTGTAGGTGGAAAAAATCTTGGGGGTGGGGTGGGGAGGGAGATAATTGGGCCATTGGCACATCGAGGATACATACAGCTTCTTTATGTTACTGTAGGGCCTCGCCTCTGGGAATAAAGCTGTCTTGGGTGAGAACTACTTTCTACTTTTAGTCCCTCTAGCGTATATTTCTTCAGTCAAGAAGAGTGGTATTACCTAGCCAAGTAAAACACAGCCTCTCCTCTTCGCTCCCTGTTCACAAAACAAGGAGCATCTATCTGGCAGGCCAGGAGAGGGGGTTGGTGATGAAGATTTCATTGTTTCCTCTGTGCCTTCCAGGGATGTGATTCAGACACAGGACTAGCTTTGTGATCCCTGTGCTCCGGAGAAACCTCCACCCTGGCCTCAAGGAGGCTGTGAAACCAAAAGGGACCTTGGGTGCCAGCTTGCTGGGTCCTTACTTACTTGGTCCATCTTCTGGCTGGAAGGAGCACCTGGGCTCTCAGAGTGCCCCCCGACTCTCAGCAGCTCCTTTTCTGGCCCAAGAGGTAAGAGTCTGGAGGACCCCAGTTCAGTTTCTTCCTGTTTATTCTTTTATCGTTGACTATAAGATTGTGAACCTAGCACAATGCTAAGAGCTTGAGATACAGCAGCTAAACAGACAGCCACTATCCTTACCCTTTTGGAGTTTTTAGCATAGTGGTGTGCCTAAACAAGTCATAATCATGATGATGATGAGAGGGTATTACACAGGGCATGACTACCAGAAGGTGGGCTCATTGGAAGCCATTTTAGAAGCAGCTGACCACAGTCTCTCTGGGGCGGGCACCATTATCCTCACTTTACTGATGAGGAAACTGAGCTACACAGGGGTCGAGCAACTTGCCCACGGTCACAAAACTTACACAGGTTTGAACACAGGTAGTCTGGCTCCAGGAAAACAATCCTACATGTATGGTGGGATTCCAGTTTGAGAAAGCAAACTGCAGTGTGGAGGATGGATTAGAGCAGGGAAGCTGGAGGCAGGAAGATCAGTGAGGAAGACTTTTCCCTGGTTCCAGTAGAGATGAGAAGGCCTGAACCCAGGTGCAGATACGGGAAGGAGATGGCAGGTTGGAAAGATATTTAGGAGAAAGAGGGTGTGGGAACCTGAGTGGGAGGCACCAGGGTGATGCCCAGTACTCTGATTTGGGTGACTTTGAGGATGCTGACGCCATTATTTAAGATAAGAATAAGCAAAAGATGAGTAGATTTGTGGGGAGGGTACCCACGAATTTGGGTACCCACAAAAGATGAGTAGATTTGTGGGGAGGGTACCCACAAAAGATGAGTAGATTTGTGGGGAGGGACATATTTATTTAAATAATGATGCCATTATTTAAGATAAGAATAAGCAAAAGATGAGTAGATTTGTGGGGAGGGTACCCACAAATTTGGGTACCCACAAAAGATGAGTAGATTTGTGGGGAGGGTACCCACAAAAGGTGAGTAGATTTGTGGGGAGGGACATATTGAGTTTGGTTTTATAGATAGTGCAAGGTATCTCTGCAAATAGTCACTGTCCTTCTCAACCTCCTTCCCTCCCCCGACCCCCACATCACAATATGTGTACTTTCTCTACAGAGTTAGACTACAGTGTACTGTTCAGCAGGCAGAAAGGCCACAATCTATGGATGAAAGAAGTCCCCCTGCAGGGAGAGGACCTAGTCAGAACAATCTTCCTAGGAAGAAGAAAATCCTGGGATGGGAACTGTGGTCTTAGAAAGCAGACCTTACACAGTGGCTCACACCTGTAATCCCAGCACTTCAGGAAGCTGAAGTGGGGGCATTGCTTGAGGCCAGGAGTCGAAGACTAGCCTGGGCAACATTGTGAGTTCTCATCTCTACCAAAATAAAAAATAAAAAAAGTATCTGGGCATGGCAGCATGTGCCTGTAGTCTCAGCTACTAGGGAGGCTGAGGCAGGAGGATTGCTTGAGCCTAGGAGTTGGGAGTCTGTGGTGAGATATGAGAGCACCACTGTACTCCAGCCTGGGCAACAGAGTGGAGAATTAAAAAAGAATTAAAAAAAGACCAGAAACAGCAGAGAAAGGGGGCCTCCTTCCCCTCTCTGTCTGTTTTATTGAGGGAGAGTCTCACTCTGTCACTCAGGCTGGAGTACAGTGGTACGATTTTGGCTCACTGCACCCTCAACCTCAACCTGGGCTTAAGCTATCCTCCCACCTTAGCCTCCCGAGTAGCTGGGACTACAGGTACATACCACCATACCCAGCTAGTTTTTTTTTTTAAATGTTCTGTAGAGATGAGGTCTCATTATGTTGGCCAGGCTGGTCTCAAACTCCCGGGCTTAAGTGATCCTCCCACCTCAGTCTCCCAAAGTGCTGGGTTTACAGGCATGAGCCACTGCTCCCGGCCTCCCTCTCTGAGAACATGCTCTAGGTGTGTTGAAAGTATTTCTGGGTGGGGATAAGATGGGGAGGGGAGGTGACTTCTTTTCTACGTAGGTGACCAGGGTAGGCAGAGAGAGCCTATCAGGGCCGTCCAGGCCAGTGTATACTCTAGGAGAAAACATATCCAATATCCAGTTGTAAGTTCCACCTGGTGGATAATTAATTTTCTTCTCTAGGAACCTTCAAGAAAGTTCTGCTAAAAGCTGTAGCCTGGCTTTAGTGCTGCTGTGTATTATCCCTGCCTAGGCAGGTGGGAAGGGGAAATGGTTTCCTGAGGGTTTCCAGCATGGAGATTTCAGCTGGGATCAGAGCAGGTATCCCCAGGATAAAGGCACTCTGGGATGAGTCTTGGCCGAGTTGTTCAACCATCCTCTTTATAAGGAGATTCTTTTCCTCATTGCCAGCCAGAAGCCAGGATGCCTATATGACACTGTCTGGCCCAGTTGGATGGATTTCTGGGTCAGCTGAGAAAAGAGGGAGTTTTCAGGGTACAGGTTGTAACTGAAGGCTGGGAGAAGGGATGGGATGACCTGGGAAGTCAGTGGAGTTGGAAGGGACTGTGAGCTAGCTTAGAAGCTCCACAACAAGCGTGGGGCCATGTCCGCTCATTCACTGCTGTGTCCCTAATGCCCTATACAGTGCTTGACATCTCCTAGGACCTCAAATAGTAGTTGAATGAATGAGTTAATTAAATAAATTACAGAAATTTAGGAAGCATCAACTTCTAAGAGACCTGAGGAAGTGACAAAAGTTTGGAACAGCTGCCATAAGCAATGAGAGGAAGATGAGCTGAAGAATGGCTGTGCTGTGAGTACAGGGAAGTTAAGAAAGTTCTCTTTGGCTGGGTGTGGTGGCTCATACCTGTAATCCCAGCACTTTGGGAGGCTGAGGTGGGCAGATCACTTGAGGTCAAGAGCTGGAGACCAGCCTGGCCAACATGGTTAAACCCCGTCTGTATTAAAAATACAAAAATTAGCTGGGCGTGGTGGCTTATGCCTCTAATCCCAGCTATTCAGGAGGCTGAGGCACGAGAATCGCTTGAACCTGGGAGACAGGAGGCAGAGGTTGCAGTGAGCCAACATTCTGCCACTGCATTCCAGCCTGGGCAACAGAGCAAAACCAGAAAAAAACAAAGAAAGAGAGAGAGAGAGAGGGAGGGAGGGAGGGAAGGAGGGAAGAAAGGAAGGAAGGAAGGAAGGTAGGAAGGAAGGAAGGAAAAAGAAAAGAAAAGAGAAAGAAAGTTCATTCTCCTTGAAGGCCAGGCTTTGGGCACTGGCAGCACCCATGGAGAAAAGGGCTTCTCTGTACCCCCATCTCCACAGTGTGCTTTGGCCCAGCAAGGTCCTGGGGGAAGTACTCCTGGTAATCCTGAGAATCAGATAGCAGGAGTGCATTTCCAGGGCTGCAGGCCACCCTCCACAGGACCACCTGGGTGGCTAGTGTGCTCAGTGCTGGTCACCAGGGGCTGACCTTCAAGTGTCAGAGGAAGCTGGGAAGTTTTGGATCCTGGATTGAGAAACTGGCCTGTGTTTTTAACTCTAGGAGTCATGATCTGAATGTGAAATTCCAAGGGCTACAAACACAGACCATGGGCTTTTATGACTCTGGGTGACCTCTATCCTCTGGCTGTCATTTGGGGATATTTTTCTTCTCCTTTTAATCCTGAAAAGGAAAGAAAAAATGTTACAAGAAGCAAGTTACTCATCACTTTGTTAAGGATTGATTCCATTTAATTCCAGAGCTTGTTTGACCCTTGGATAAACAATTGAAACCTTCTGGAGGTACCTAAAAGGAATGCAAGAATGCATTTGCCATTTAATGGTAGAAAAATTTTAAATGGGATTCTGATAGTATAAAAAATAGTATTTGTATAAGTGCTTAAAAAATCACTTGTAAAATATACGCTCTTCAATAATGGCCAAATATGGGAAACTCTGATGTTTGGTCACATAACCAGGCTGATTTTGCAAATGGGAAGATCCATCTATCCCCATTTACTTAGGTTGAGCAATCTTCTGGCTACAAATTTCCTCCAAAGATGTCTAGAATCATTGGCCAAATGGAGATCCAGACTAAATGCATAAGATAGCACCAACATAAGTTAGCCAGCTTGGGTTCTCTGAGGTGGGTTTAGCCATGCCAAAGGAGAATTGTTCAAAGTTTTAACTTTATGGGTAATGGTAGAAGTTACGGATTATATAGTTTGTCACCTGCCAAATCTGCAAGAACAAATAAAGATGAAATGCAATGAATGTATAAACAACTCAAAGGGAAAAAGTGCTAACCAGGTTTAGAAAGCCAAGAGTTTCCTAGCAGGCTGATATGACCTAATCTCTTTCCATGACATACTGACCAACTGGTGAGTAATTTCACCAGTAAACTAAGAAGTCAGAATGTCAAGCACGACCATGAAGGGGGTAACTGGAGGCAGAAGCAGCTGAGCCCCAGATTCACCCTGGGCCTCTGCAACCTTCTCATCCCCAGCTAGGTAATAGAAGAGATCAAAGTTCATGAAATTTGCTGGGGACCTCAAAAAAGAGGGTTAGGAGTGGAGTAAGAGGGGAATGTCTTCCTTTCTGTCATAACACATATCCCATTGTAATTTTAGTTTATTTCTTTTTTTTAGAGACTTGCTCTGTTGCCCAGACTGGAGTGTAGTGGCGTGGTCATAGCTTACTACAGCCTTGAACTCCTGGGCTCAAGGGATCCTCCTGCCTCAGCCTCCTGAGCAGCTAGGACTATAGGTGGGTGCCACCACGCCTGGCTAATTTTTACATTTTCTGTGGAGATGGGGGTCTTGATATATTACCCAGGCTGGAACCCATCATATCATTTCATCTCCTGCTGCTGCAGGACAGGCAGTGTGGTTTAGCTGGAAAATCAAGGACCACAGACAGAAGCCCAGTCTCTGTCTGTCACTATCTGCACATTCTTGGGCCAATTCCTCCTGCCCTCTACTGCCTCAGGTTCTTTATTTGTAAAATGATTTTGAAGATTAAACAAGATCAAACCAAATACTCGGCAGAGTGCCCAGCTTATTCTAAGTCCTCAATAAATCTCGATTCCTTCCCTTGAGTGGATTCATCAGAGTACCTTAAGCACAAACAGGAATGGAATAAATTTTGTTGACTACATGAGTATGGAACAATAACAACTCTTGTTTATTTAGGATTTTTTCAGTTGTAAGCTCCCCAGGGCATCATATCATACACATTTTTGCAGCCTCAGCATCTAGATCAGGGCCTGTCACATGGTAGGTTCTTAGTAACTATTAAGTTATCGAATTTTGACTTTAAAGGGGCCTTGATAATAGGCTGGGTGTGGCAGTTCACACATGTAATCCTAGGACTTTGAGACGCCAAGGCAGGTGAATCACTTGAGCCCAGGAGTTCAAGACCCGCCTGGGCAACATGGTGAAACCCAGTGTCTACAAAAAATAGAAAAAAAAAAATTAGAGGGGCTGGCAAGATGGCAGAATACGAACAGCTCTCGTCTGCAGCTCCCAATGAGATCAACGCAGAAGGAGGGTTATTTCAGCATTTCCAACTGAGATACCCAGCTCCTCTCATTGGGACTGGTTAGACAATGGGTGCAGCCCACGGAGGGTGAGCAGAAGCAAGATGGGGCATCACCTCACCCTGGAAGCACAAGGGGTCATGGAACTCCCTCCCCTAGCCAAGGGAAGCTATGAGGGACTGTGCCATGAGGAATGGTGCATTCAGGCCCAGATACTACGCTTTTCCTACTGTCTTTACAACCCACAGACCAGGATATTCTCTTGGATGCCTATACCAGCAGGGCCCTGGGTTTCAAGCACAAAACTGGGCGGCCATTTGGGCAGACACTGAGCTAGCTGTAGGAGTTTTTTTTCATACCTCAGTGACATCTGGAATGCCAGTGAGACAGAACCATTCACTGCCCTGGAAAGGGGGCTGACACCAAGGAGCCAAGTGGTCTAGCTCAGTGGATCCCACCCCCACAGATCCCAGAAAGCTAAGATCCACTGGCTTGAAATTCTCACTGCCAGCACAGCAGTCTGAAGTTGACCTGGGATGCTTGAGTTTGGTGGCAGGAGGAGCGTCTGCCACTACTGAGGCTTGAGTAGTCAGTTTTCCCCTCACAGTGTAAACAAAGCCACCAGGAAGTTTGAACTGGGTGAAACCCACAACAGCTCGGCAAAGCCACTGTAGCCAGACTGCCTCTCTAGATTCCTCCTCTCTGGGCAGGGCATCTCTGAAAGAAAGGCAGCAGCCCCAGTCAGGGGCTTATAGATAAAACTCCTATCTCCCTGGGACAGAGCACCTGGGGGAAGGGGTGGCTGTGGGCACAGCTTCAGCTGACTTAAACATTCTTGCCTGCTGGCTCTGAAGAGAGGATCAGATCTCCCAGCACAACGCTTGAGCTCTGCTAAGAGACAGAGTGCCTCCTCAGGTGGGTCCCTGATCCCCTTGCCTCCTGACTGGGAGACACCTCCCAGCAAGGGTTGACAGACACCTCATACAGGAGAGCTCCGGCTGGCATCTGGTGGGTACCCCTCTGGGACGAAACTTCCAGAGGAAGGAACAGGCAGCAATCTTTGCTGTTCTGCAGCCTCTGCTGGTGACACCCAGGCAAACAGGGTCTGGAGTGGACCTCCAGAAAACTCCAGCAGACCTACAGCAGAGGGGCCTGACTGTTAGAAGGAAAACTAACAAACAGAAAGGAATAGCATCAACATCAACAAAAAGGACGTCCACACAGAAACCTCATCCGAAGGTCACCAACATCAATGACCAAAGGTAGATAAATCCAAGAAGATGAGGAAAAGCCAGCACAAAAAGGCTAAAAATTCCAAAAACCAGAACACCTCTTCTCTTCCAAAGGATCACAACTCCTCACCAGCAAGGGAACAAAACTGGATGGAGAATGAGTTTGATGAATTGACAGAAGTAGGCTCCAGAAGGTGGGTAATAACAAACTCCTCTGAGCTAAAGGATCATGTACTAACCCAATGCAAGGAAGCTAAGAACTTTGAAAAAAGGTTAGAGGAATTGCTAACTAGAATAACCAGTTTAGAGAAGAATATAAATGACCTGGTGGAGCTGAAAAGCACAGCAAGAGAACTTCGTGAAGCACACAAAAGTTTCAATAGCTGAATTGATCAAGTGGAAGAAAGGATATCAGAGACTGAAGATGAACTTAATGAAATAAAGTGTGAAGACAAGATTACAGAAAAAAGAATGAAAAGGAATGAACCAAGCCTCCAAGAAATAGAGGGCTATGTGGAAAGACCAAACCTATGCTTGATTGTTGTATCTGAAAGTGACAGGGAGAATGGAGCCAAGTTGGAAAACACTCTTTAGGATATTATCCAGGAGAACTTCCCCAACCTAGCAAGGCAGGCCAACATTCAAATTCAGGAAATGCAGAGAACACCACAAAGGTACTCCTCGAGAAGAGCAACCCCAAGACACATAATTGTCAGATTCACCAAGGTTGAAATGGAGGAAAAAATGTTAAGGGCAGCCAGAAAGAAAGGCCAGGTTACCCACAAAGGGAAGCCCATCAGACTAACAGCGGATCTCTCTGCATAAACCCTACAACCCAGAAGACAGTGGGGGTCAATATTCAACATTCATAAAGAGAAGAATTTTCAACACAGAATTACATATCCAGCAAAACTAAGCTTCATAAGCAAAGGATAAATAAAATCATTTACAGACAAGCAAATGCTAAGAGATTTTCTCACCACCAAGCCTGCCTTACAAGAGCTCCTGAAGGACCCACTAAATATAGAAAGGAAAAACCGGTACCAGCCACTGCAAAGACATACCAAATTGTAAAGACCATTGACACTATGAAGAAACTGCATTAACTAATGGGCAAAATAACCAGTTAGCATCATAATGACAGGATTAAATTCACACATAACAATATTAACTTTAAATGTAAATGGGCTAAATGCCCCAGTTAAAAGACACAAACTGGCAAATTGGATAAAGAGTCAAGACCCATTGGTGTGCTATATGCAGGAGACCCATCTCATGTGCAAAGACACACATAGGCTCAAAATAAAGGGATAGAGGAACGTTTACCAAGAAAATGGAAAGCAAAAAAAAAAAAAAAAAAAAAAAGCAGCGGTTGCAATCCTAGTCTCTGATAAAACAGACTTTAAACCAACAAAGATAAAAAAAGTAACAGAAGGGCATTACATAATGGTAAAGAGATCAATGCAACAAGAGAGCTAACTATCCTAAATATATATGAACCCAACACAGAAGCTCCCAGATTCATAAAGCAAGTTCTTAGAGACCTACAAAGAGACTCAAACTGCCACACAATAATAGTGGGAGACTTTAACACCCCACTGTCAATATTAGACAGATTGACAAGACAGAAAATTAACAAGGATATTCAGGACTTGAACTCAACTCTGGACCAAGTGGACCTAATAGACATCTACAGAATTCTCCACCCCAAATCAACAGAATATACATTCTTCTTAGCACCACATCGCACTTATTCTAAAATTGACCACATAGTTGGAAGTAAAACACTCCTTAGCAAATGCAAAAGAAAAGAAATCATAACAAACAGTCTCTCAGACCATGGTGCAATCAAATTAGAACTCAGGATTAAGAAACTCACTCAAAACCACAGAACTACATGGAAAATGAACAACCTGCTGCTGAATGATTACTGGGTACATAATGAAATGAAGGCAGAAATAAGTAAGTTATTTGAAACCAACGAGAACAAAGACACAATGTACCAGAATCTCTGGGACACAGCTAAAGCAGTGTTTAGAGGGAAACTTATAGCACTAAATGCCCACAGGAGAAAGCGGGAAAGATCTAAAATCGACACCCTAACATCACAATTAAAAGAACTAGAGAAGCAAGAGCAAACAAATTCAAAAGCTATCAGAAGACAAGAAATAACTCAGATCAGAGCAGAACTGAAGGAGATAGAGACACAAAAAACCCTTCAAAAAATCAATGAATCCAGGAGCTGGTTTTTTGAAAAGATTAGAAAATAGATAGAATGCTGGCCAGACTAATAAAGACAAAAAGAGAGAAGAATCAAATAAACACACAAAAAAATGATAAAGGGGATATCACCACTGATCCCACAGAAATACAAACTACCATCAGAGAATACTATAAACACCTAAATGCAAATAAACTAGAAAATCTAGAAGAAATGGATAAATTCCTGGACACATACACCCTCCCAAGACTAAACCAGGAAGAAGTTGAATCCCTGAATAGACCAATAACAAGTTCTGAAATTGAGGTGGTAATTAATAGCCTACCCACCAAAAAAAGCCCAGGACCAGACAGATTCACAGCCAAATTCTACCAAAGGTACAAAGAGGAGCCGGTACCATTCCTTCTGAAACTATTCCAAACAATAGAAAAAGAGGGAATCATCCCTAACTCATTTTATGAGCCCAGCATCATCCTGATGTCAAAACCTGGCAGAGACAGAAACCAAAAAGAAAATTTCAGGCCAATATCCCTGATGAGCATCGATGTGAAAATCCTCAATAAAATACTGGCAAACTGAAACCAGCAGCGCATCAAAAAGCTTATCCACCACGATCAAGTTGGCTTCATCTCTGGGATGCAAGGCTGGTTCAACATATGCAAATCAATAATAGTAATCCATCACATAAACAGAACCAATGACAAAAACCACATGATTATCTCAATAGATGCAGAAAAGGCCTTCAATAAAATTCAACACCCCTTCATGCTATAAACACTCAATAAACTAGGTATTGATGGAACGTATCTCAAAACAATAAGAGCTATTTATTATAAACCCACAGCCAATATCATACTGAATGGGAAAAAGCTGGAAGCATTCCCTTTGAAAACCAGCACAAGACAAGGATGCCCTCTCTCACCACTCCTATTCAACATAGTATTGGAAGTTCTGGTCAGGACAATCAGGCAAGAGAAAAAATAAAGGATATTCAAATAGGAAGAGAGGAAGTCAAATTGTCTCTGTTTGCAGATGATATGATTGTATATTTGGAAAACCCCATCGTCTCAGCCCCAAATCTCCTTAAGCTGATAAGCAACTTCAGCCAAGTCTCAAAATATAAAATCAATGTGCGAAAATCACAAGCATTCCTATACACCAATAATAGACAAACAGAGAGCCAAATCATGAGTGAACTCCCATTCACAATTGCTACAAAGAGAATAAAATACCTAGGAATACAACTTACAAGGGATGTGAGGGACCTCTTCAAGGAGAACTACGAACCACTGCTCAAGGAAGTAAGAGAGGACACAAACAAATGGAAAAACATTCCATGCTCACGGATACGAAGAATCAATATTGTGAAAATGGCCATACTGCTCAAAGTAATTTATAGATTCAGTGCTATCCCCATCAAGCTACCATTGACTTTCTTCACAGAATTAGAAAAAAATTACTTTAAATATCATATGGAACCAAAAAAGAGCCCGTATAGCTAAGACAATCCTAAGCAAAAAGAACAAAGCTGGAGGCATCACGTTACGTGACTTCAAACTATACTACAAGGCTACAGTGACGAAAAGAGCATGGTACTGGTATCAAGACAGATATATAGACCAATGGAACAGAACAGAGGCCTCAGAAATAATGCCAAACATCTACAACCATCTGATCTTTGACAAACCTGACAAAAACAAGCAATGGGGGAAGGATTCCTGATTTAATAAATGGTGTTGAGAAAACTGGCTAGCCTTATGCAGAAAACTGAAACTGGACCCCTTCCTTATACCTTAGACAAAAATTAACTCAAGATGGACTTAAATGTAAGACCTAAAACCATAAAAACCCTAGAAGAAAACCTAGGCAATACCATTCAGGACATAGGCATGGGAAAAGACCTCATGAGTAAAACACCAAAAGCAATGGCAACAAAAGCCAAAATTGACAAATGGGATCTAATTAAACTAAAGAGCTTCTGCGCAGCAAAATAAACTATCATCAGAGTGAACAGGCAACCTACAGAATGGGAGAAAATTTTTGCAATCTATTCATCTGACAAAGGGCTAATATCCAGAATCTGTAAGGAACTTAAACAGTTATTAAGAAAAAAAACAAACAACCCCATCAAAAAGTGGGTGAAGGATATGAAGAGACACTTCTCAAAAGAAGACATTTATGTGGCCAACAAACATATGAAAAAAAGCTCATCATCACTAGTCATCAGAGAAATGCCAATCAAAGCCACAATGAGATACCATCTCATGCCAGTTAGAATGGCGATCATTAAAAAGTCAGGAAGTAACAGATGCTGGAGAGGATGTGGAGGAATAGGAACACTTTTACACTGTTGGTGGGAGTGTAAATTAGTTCAACCTTTCTGGAAGACAGTGTGGCGATTCCTCAAAGATCTAGAACCAGAAATACCATTTGATCCAGCAATCCCATTAGTGGGTATATACCTAAAGTATTATAAATCATTCTACTATAAAGACACATGCACAGGTATGTTTATTGTGGCACTATTCACAATAGCAAAGACTTGGAACCAACCCAAATGCCCATCAATGATAGACTGGATAAAGAAAATGTGGCACATATACACCATGGAATACTAAGCAGCCATAAAAAAGGATGAGTTCATGTCCTTTGCAGGGACATGGATAAAGCTGGAAACCATCATTCTCAACAAACTAACAGAGGAACAGAAAACCAAATACTGCACGTTCTCACTTATAAGTGGGAGTTGAACAATGGGAACACATGGACACAGGGTGGGGAACATCACACACTGGGGCCTGTCGGGGGGTGGGAGGCTAGGGGAGGGTTAGCATTAGGAGAAATACCTAATGTAGATGACAGGTTGATGGGTGCAGCAAACCACCATGGCACATATATACCTGTGTAACAAACCTGCAGATCCTGCACATGTATCCCAGAACTTAAAGTGTAATAATAATAATAAAAATAAGGAAACCTTTAAAAACAAGTCATCATGTTCTGGATTGGCTAAGAAGAAACATAGTCAAAGAAGAAAAAAAAAAAAAAAAGAAAGAAAGATCCCTGAATTGGAAGAATCAACAATTCACAAACATTGGTCCAGACATCGATAGCCAAATCATATCCTCTCAGCTATTTCTGCATATCCAAAATACAAATTCTCAAGCCGCACCTTCCATAGATTCTAACTCATGTTTTTGGAGGCTCTTGGAATTTGTGTGTTTATTTAATCTGCTCAAATAAATCTGATGCACAGTAGAATCTGGAAACCAATCTTCTAGACAATGTCTTCCAACATTACTAATATTGACCAGTTCAAGAATCTCTGGGCTATTTCTTCATAAACAAAATGAATAACATTTTTGAGCCCCTGCATTTGAGTATGGAAGATAACCAATATGGAAACATTCATCAAGCAATAAATATTCATGAGGAACCGACAATATATAATGTGCTACCTTAGGCACTGAAAGGAAGTCCTAACAGTGGATATGTGGCTGAAATTAAATTTTCTGATAAAATTAAAAAAAAAAAAAGAAAAAAAATTAGCTGGGAGTGCAGGAGTGGTGGCATGTGCCTGTAGTTCCAGCTACTCTAGAGGCTGAGGTGGGAGGATTATTTGAGCCTGGGAGGTCGAGGCTGCAGTGAGCTGTGATTGTGTTACTGCATTTCAGCCTGGATAACAGAGTGAGAACTGATCTCAAAATATAAAAATTAAAAAAATGAAAATAAAGGGCCACTGATAAACTGGAGATTCTGAGAATTGCATAGGATGAATTTGGCAGGTGAGTGCATCCAGGGAAACAGGGACCACCATTCAGGTTCCAAAAGAAGTGGTGGCGGAGCCTGACTCCCTTAAGTGCGGAAGGAAAGTTACAGGGGTCTGGGGACCAGCAGACTTTCTTCCTAGAGGTATGGTGCTCACAAGTCCTCAGCAGAGGCTGAACTGGTACCATACCAGTCTGTTGATCCAATGTCTCATATGAGGAGCAGGCTGGCCAGGCCACAAAGCCACAGACAGCCTGCCCAGCCTCATTTTGCTGACATAGCCACAGACGGAAGGAGAGTCAGTAACTTATCCAGGTGAAGCGAATGGCAGGAAAAATGCTGATTACCTATAAATGATCAAGAAATGCATGCTAAAAAGATCCAGCCATTAGTCCTGTGTGTGCAAGACCCACTCTTACTAGGCCCAGGACTCAGCTGCTGCATTTGTGACCTGAGAAAGCAAGTCCCCTGCCTCTTACGTGGCTCAGCAAAACCATGGGACTCCACCATGAAATGGGAAAAGAAAGGAGTGAGGAGACTCGCTCATAGGACCACAGCACCTGGCAGAGTACAAGCCCAGAGCTCTATTTATGCAGTTTACCAAACCTGCTGCAAGGGAGCTGGTAATTGCTTTAAGTCTGGGCAAACTGGTTCTCCTGGCACAGAGCTAGAAGCCAGGCTTAATTAGATTGCAGGATTAGATTGGAGGAGAGGCTTTTGTTCAGAGTTGGCTCCAATTTTGTTTTTTTACTTCTTGTTAAATGAGAGCAGAAAATTATATTGTCAGGGGCAGAAGCCTAGGGCAGGGGTGCAGTGTGGAAATTTTCATTCAAGGCAAATCCCTCTAGGTTCGCCCTCCTCGCATTTCAGTGTTTTCGGGAAGCCAGCCTTGAGCTTGAGTTCCTGGTCATGCTTGACCTTAACGGGATCTGGGCAGTGTCCTAGGGGAGGACCAGCTGCTGAATGGAGACTTGGCTGTTCCTGTCTCACTCTGCAGGTCTTTTTCCCAAGGGACTGAGAAATAGATGCCTGAACTGGCTTGACAGTGCCAAATGCCAAGTTCTGAGGTGTCTGGGCCAGAGGTTGGGTCTGTGGCCTGGTGATCTCCAGGCCTGGGGAGGTTGCACTCTGGCAGTCCATGGTAGAAGGTGAGGTCAAGTCACTCACATGCTCACCTTGTTTGGAAGCATCAAGTCTGATTTCAGAGCTCAGGCTGAAAACAAGCATCTAGAACGGATCCCTGAACCGGCTTCTGACTCATCCTCTTCAAATTACGCTAAGATTTGTCAGGCCCCTCCTTCATCTTTAGGCCAAGTGTTAAAATGCCATGTGGGCCGGGCGCGGTGGCTCACGCCTGTAATCCCAGCACTTTGGGAGGCCGAGGCGGGCGGATCACGAGGTCAGGAGATCGAGACCATCCCGGCTAAAACGGTGAAACCCCGTCTCTACTAAAAATACAAAAAATTAGCCGGGCGTAGTGGCGGGCGCCTGTAGTCCCAGCTACTCGGGAGGCTGAGGCAGGAGAATGGCGTGAACCCGGGAGGCGGAGCTTGCAGTGAGCCGAGATCCCGCCACTGCACTCCAGCCTGGGCGACAGAGCGAGACTCCATCTCAAAAAAAAAAAAAAAAATGCCATGTGAGTCCAAGGAGGTGGGCTCGAGCTGCGTCTGCCTTTGCTTCCTGGAGGGCGGAGGACTAGCCCAGCAGATCCTGGTGGTGCAGAAATTGGAGAGCTTGGGGCCACTGAAAAAGGGTTCAGGCCCCAATGAAAGGACATTTTTGGCTCCTTGTCAAGGACAGACAGGCTGCAGATCTACACACGGGATTTGATCCAGCCCCCATCTAGATCCCTGTGCCCTGGCAATTAGTCTGGTTCCTGCTACCTGTCATCAGTCCTACCACCTGCCTGGGTGTGTGTAGTGGGTGCAGGGTGCTAGGATTTCATGTGTACACTGGGTAGGCAGGTTTGTGGTGGGAGCAGCAGGATGGGCTCAGAGCTCAGCACTGAGGGAATGTGTGTGCTCTTCCCTGAGGAGGGGTCAAGGCTCCCTCTTGGAGAGACTTCCTGCTGCTTCTTACACACAGTCTTTGTGACTTTAAGAAATAAAGCCCATCCTAGTCTAACTCATCCTCTTGGGCCTCTGCAGCTGTGGGCTCAGAGCTGGTGGGAGGAGGAAGGTGAGGAGATACACCCTCCCTTACCTGCTTCCCGAAATGAAGGTGTCAGGCCCACCCTGTCTTTCCCTTGTGTCTCTCTCCTTTCTCGGCTTCACCAGCCCTTTATAGCAAAGCTAGCTGGGGACTTACGCTTGGAAAATCACTCTAGGCTGTCTGGTCAATTCCATGCACTGTGGGCTGTCCACCTCCTGTGTACCAGGCTCGCCTGTGTGAGTAGGTACTGGGGCATGGCATGGCCCCCAGCGAAATTCCTCATCCCTGGGAGCTTTCTGTGGCAATGCTTCCTCCAATGTCTGGGGTTGTTGGTAAACAGGATGGGGGCAGGGCTGCCACAATTAGAATCCTCCAGTATTTTCTTCTCAGGAATAAACATGGTGTTTAAAGGGCAACAGTCTCCCCATTTCTCATGGGTAATGGCTGCTTTTCTGGGCCTTTGGGGCCCCGGCAGGTGTTACTACTTTAGGTCTTGGGGAAGCTGTTGCTTCCTAGGGAAGCCTTCACTTGACATCTCAGGACTGGGGTGGATAATCCAGCATCCTGTGTGCTCTCCAGCACCTTGATCTACATGTCCATCGTATTCCGAAAGCCACACACTGGACTCTGAGCTCCTGAAGGCAAGGCCTGTACCCAGCATGCTGGCTCTGCCTTGGAAGGACGGGCAGTGAACATTTCGTGAAAGAATGACTTGATCAGTCAAGTCTGTGTGGGCCTCAAAGGCAGAACTGAGAAGGAAGTTCAAGAGGCAGATTTTGGCTCTAAAGAAGGAAGAGCATTATCGCTATCAGGATATTCCGAAAGCTCACGAGTCAGAGGCCCTTAGCTACCTGTCGTTGATCATGTTCATACCACAGCTGGATGACCTGGACTCAGATGTTCTGGAGGGAATTCAAGTATCAGATGGGCAGGGTGCTCAAGGCAAGACCTGCTGAAGGGCCTTCCAGGTGCTGGGGAGAACAGGCCCTTCTACAGGGGGAGGAAGGGAGCCTGGAGCTAGCTACTGGGCACTCCTTGCAGAGGCCCCTGTGAAGAGATAGGCCTGTGCTTTGTCCCCACCAAGACTTCAAAGCGGAACTCAAGTGTCATCTACCTTTCCTGACCTCCTCTATCTCCCTCTTCTGCTCAAAACACACTGTTCTTTCCTTTGTTCCCATTCTAGTCCTCTTTAATGCAGTCATTAATTAATTACACATCTCCCATCTGAAACGGGAGCCCCTGGAGTACGGGGACTGTGTCTTATAATTATTTGCAACCCCAGCATCTAGACCTGGGCCTGGCACAAGTGCTAAATAAACATTTGTTGAACAGATTAAATAGGGAACTTTCCTATAAGACAAATAGCTTAGGGCCCTGCTATGGAGGTGAAGCTAACGTATGTGAACAAAACTCCAAGAACAATTTAGTATTAAAGTGTCCAACTCTCTGGGGATACAGATTGATTCATGAAGGAGCTAACTCAGGTCTGCTGGCCTGCAAGCTGTCTCAGAAAGGTTTTGAGGGGACGCTGAAGCCAGATGCTTCTTCCCCTGCTGGCAGGTAAGCGCCAGGTGGCCCCGACCTTTGTTCACTGTGGTATCCCAAGCAGTTTGAATAGTACCTGGCATGAGATGGGCACTCGATAAATATATGTGGAATGGAAATACTTTAGTTGCTGTAGTTTTGTTTCTTTCTTTTTTTTTCAAAGCAGATTCAAAATGGTGTGCATTATTAACTTGTCCTCAAACATTAAAGCAAACTCCAGTGGGAAGGACTTACACAGACTCAGGAAACCCCACAGACAGGGCTGGCATCATAGGCATGAGCTCAGGAGGGCCCCACACTTAGTGTAACTCAATGCTGTTGCCATCCTGAAATGCTTAATAATTCTTGAACAAGGAGCACCGCGTTTTCATTTTGTACGGGGTCGGCACGTTATGCAGCTGGCTCTGCCCACCCACACTGTGGGCAACAATAAAGGCTCTTGGCTCTGGTCACTCACCTGGCAAATTGAGTTGCTGTGCGGGGCTATGGATGGCTCACCGGGGCTTCTGGGGCTCCTGGGCAGCCACTCAGGATTTGCGGTGCTGTTGCCCCTTCCTTACCTGGCCCTAATCTGGATCTGCTTCAGTTGCTGGGCTCTGGATCTGAAGTGAACTCAGGGAGTGGCCAGTGGCCACTGCCAGCTACCTGCCACTTCTTGTCTCTGTGTGCTGCTGTCTTTAGCATGGGAAGGTATATTTATGGCATCCTTTGTAAATAGTGGCCTCAAAAGAATGGTTCTCATGGGAACCCTCCACCTGCCTTTTCCAGGAACTTGGGGCATCTGTCTCCCTGGCTTGGTTGGTGGGCACCAAGTGCCCACTTCTCCTACCCCCCATAGTACCCTTTGCTGATGCCAGTTATTTTCCAACTCTTTAGTGCTAAACTCAAGAATTCTTCTACCTCAGAATGAGTTACAACTAGAGCATTGTATTAGCCTGTTTTCATACTGCTATAAAGAACTGCCCAAGGCTGGGTAATTTATAAAGGAAAGAGGCTTGATTGACTCAATGTTTAGCATGGCTGGGGAGGCCTCGGGAAACTTACGATCATGGGAAAGGGAAAGCAAGGCACTGTCTTCACAAGGCAGCAGGAAAGAGAAGTGCCGAGGGAAGCGAGAAAGAGCCCCTTATAAAACCATCAGACATCAGATCTCCCGAGAACTCACTCACTATCACGAGAACAGCAGCTGGGGGAAACTGCCCCATGATTCAATTGCCTCCACCTGGTCTCTCCCTTGACAAGTGGGGATTATGGGGATTATTATCACAATTCAAGATGACACTTGGGTAGGGACACAAAGCCTAACCATATCAAGCATCTTCTCAGGACCAAGGGTATTTTTCTCTCTCTTTGGTTCAAGAACTTTGTTCTTGGTGGGCTGGGGCCCTCCTTCAGTATCCAAGGCCCTGTTCATTTCTCTTAAGGAGGCCACTGAGTTTTCATGCCTGCAGGATCCTGGTGCCAGAGACTCACAGGGGTACATCTTTGCATTTCAGGGGTCTGTACTCACCCTGTGTCTGGCAGGATGGGCTGGTCATTGGTAGAGTCACCCTCAATTCTGGGTAAAGCCACTTCCCTCTGCCTCTGAAACACAACAGAGTGGCCAGGCTTTGGGAAGGTGTGTTAGTCCATTTCTATGTCACTATAAAGGAATACCTGAGGCTGGGTAATTTATAAAGAAAAGATACTTAACTGGCTCATGATTCTGCAGGCTGTACAGGAAGCATGGTGCCAGTGTCTGCTACTTGTGAGGGCCCAAGGAAACTTCCAGTCATGGTGGTGTCACATACTGAGAGCCTGAACAAGAGAGCGAGAAGGTGGAGGTCCCGACTCTTAAACAACCATATCCTAAGTGAACTGAGTGAGAACTCACTTATTACTAAGGGGATGGTGTCAAACCATTCACGAGGGATCTGCCCCCATAATCCAATCACCTCCCACCAGGCTCCACCTCCAACGCTGGCAATCACATTTCAACATGAAATTTGGAGGGAACACACAGGCAAACTATATCAAAAGGGGCCTTGAAAGCTATGCCCAGGCTGCTCAGCTCTCATAGTTTATTGCTGCTCTTAGATGGAGCCCAGAGTGGAGCTCAGGATGGAGTCAGTGGGGTCCAAAATCTTTTTGAAATTCTGCATCTGTGAGTTTCCGGGTGTAATTCAGGGTGTCCGATTAAGCAGTCATGCATGTGCCCCTGGACCCTTCTGGCAGAGGTTAGCTCTCACTAATAGGACAAGCACTCATTAGATTTTTAAAGGTGGCCCAGAGTCATTCTTAACCTTTGCCACTGCTTTTTTAAAAACTAAAAACGTGTGTTCAGTTGAACAAATAGAAAACACAGATTGGAAAGGTAGATGTTTTACAATTTCAAAGTCAATGTCACTATTAGAATTGATTTTTTTTCTGTAAGATATTATTGATTTTAATTTTCATTAACTGCCAGAAGGAAGCAGGACATCCAAGGTTATTTGGTCCAAATCTCTCATTTTAAAGATGGAAAATGAGGCCCATCGAAGCTGGGTGGTTGTTTAAGGTCACACAGCTCATCAGGAGCAGGAGTGAGAATCCAGGTCATCCTCCTGGACCCCTGCTATCTCTCTCCCATAAAGTTCTTAAGAGATTTTAGTAATTAAGTAAACATTCATTCAGATTAAAGATGTGAGGACTAACTGGAATGGGACATGGCACGTTTTCAGGACACTGGCAGGATAACCTTAGTAGGTTTTATGGGTTTTTGTTCTTTCATTTTTTGTTCATCCATCACCACCTCTTTATGGAGCAACTGCCTTATGCCACACCCTGTGCTTAAAACTAGGAATTCCAAGTTGAATCAGAGGTGGTTTGTGTTCTGAAAGGAGTGTGTGTGTATGTGTGTGTGTCCCAAACAAGAAGTCCTCTCTATAGTGTCCTTTACTAGAGATGGCTTAGCCTTGGCTTCAACTCTTCCAGTTGGCAATCTGCATTGAGAGCTCTGGTCCACTGACTTGGAAAGCCCAGAGGAGTCAGAGGTCCCAGTGTCCCCTTGGGGAGGGATGTCTTTCTCTGCTTTATTTCAAGCAGGGCTGAGGGCTGATTCCCTGGAGCTCAGCACACAGACACCACACAGAAACAGTCCCAGGAGCACAGAATGCCAGTGCTGGATTATGTGATCTTTATTTGTCAGATGAGAAGATTGAGATCCAGAGCAGTTTAACCAGTTGCTTAACTAACTGATCCAGATGATAAGTGGATTCTCTAAACCATCCAAACTTCTGATTTATTCAGGAACTGAAAAATGGGAAGGGGTTCCCCTTAGAAATGACTTCACCCAAAATGCCTCTGCACCTAAGATAAGACATCTTGGAAAGGCATCAAGGTGGCTGTGGTCTCATCATGTCTTCATAGAATCTCCTGAAGTCATGGCTATTATGGAGGGTTCCAAGTGACTGGAAGCCAAATCCAACTGTCCCAAATGCCAGTTCCGCCCTTTGCCAAAGGGCTTTGTTGCCCAGCGGAGGCTGAGCCAGGTGTTAGACCTCTGCTGTCCCCATTTCCAGCCCGAGGAGCCTCTGGGAGCCTGCAGGGTGGTAGGGAGGGTGAAGTGTATGTTCAAAGCCTGTGGCTACTACAAGATTTTTAAATTTATGCACGGGATTATTGTTCTTCCTTCAAAGCCCAAGATAAAAGGATAAAAGCTACTCAGGAATGCCCTGCAGGGACATGAGGCTTTGATGCTGCTGGGAAGGCCGGGACCCTCCACTCAATAAGTAATTCAGCCCATCCACAGACTCAGAACCAAGGCCTCTTGAGTGGGAGAGATCTCAAAGTTGACTGAGCCCAGCTTCCCATGAAGGGTACTTCCCAGAGCAGTTCTGCCAAGGTGCCACCCTGGCCCAAGTTCCACCCCTCCAGAAACAGGGCCTGTGTGCCCTCAGGAGAGCACCATCTCCAGCCTTGGATAAGGCTGCCTTCCTGTAGGGAGAGGCCGCCCCCCTGTTCCGTCTACTGAGGGGCCCCAGCTCTGCCATCTGGAGCCTCACCCTGCTCTCCTCTGACTGTGGACGTTTAAGTCTAATATCTGCTGGGCTCCAGGCCAGCCACCCTTGGGTCAGCACTTGGCTGTCCCTGCTAGAAGTGACTGTGAAGGCTTCACCCTCCTCTGTCCAAGGCGGCTCCTGAAGGAGCAAGTTCCAGAGCTGGAACACCAGGACCCCCAAACTCCAGCTGTAGACTGACCAATGCCAAGCCAAGTAGGGCTGCCATCTCCCTGGCCTTTTGGGATTTCCTATCTTCTGCCTTGGAAACTCCACCATAGGCACGTCTTCTTAGCCCAGGCTTGAGGAGCCACCCCAGCTCTATTCCTCTTCGAGTCCTCCCATCTCAACATGAATTCTAGCTGGGAGCAAACATTTTCTAGGTGTTTGTTTGTTTTGAGACGAAGTCTCGCTCTGCTGCCCAGGCTGGAGTGCAGTGGCACGATCTTGGCTCATTGCAACCTCTGCCTCCTGGGTTTAAGTGATTCTCCTGCCTCAGCCTCCCGAGTAACTGGGATTACATGCGCCACCATGCCTGGCTAATTTTTTGTATTTTTAGTAGAGACGGGATTTCACCATCTTGGCCAGGGTGGTCTCAAACTCCTGACTTCAAGTGATCCACCCACCTTGGCCTCCCAAAGTGCTGGGATTACAGGTGTGAGCCACCATGCTGGGCCCTCTAGGTGTTTTGAAAATAGCTGCAGGACACAAACCACCAGGCTGCTTGCTGCCCTGGATTTGGGGGGCTTGAGCTTGGGGATCCAGGGTCACGGGCCCTGCAGGCTCAGCCCACCCTCTCAGGGCTGTGGGTCTCAGAAGCCTGTGTTCAGGTAAGCAGTAGCAGGAAGTGGAGATCTGGAAGCTGGAGCAGGAGCCCCAGCTCCACTGTCTTGTGGGGTTTGACCATTAACTGCTAATCCTCAGGCCTGTGTCTGGGCAATAGACTGAGGCCAGAGCAAGGCCGGTCACAGCACAGCTGGGGGAGCACTCAGGGCAGAGTGTGACCCTGAAGTCCCAGAGGTGACCTTGGGAGGACTGGGCAGTGTTTGCCTGGACTGTTCCTTAATGAGCTCACCCAAGCACATGGTCTTTCCCTTCCACACACTCACCCACATTTATATTCTGCAGAGTGATCCTGGCGAAAATGATTCTTTCATTGCCTGCCTAACCGGACGAGCAAAGCCCACAGGGGTTATTTGGACAAGAGTATAAAAGATCTCAAGAATGTGACCTGACCCAAAGAGCCCAAAGGGAATAATGGAAGCTTCTGCCAGGCCTTTGGGGATTAAGTGATGGGTATGGGGGCGGGTGGATGACTCTGTAATGGTCCTATTTCTGATGCACCAATAGGGACACAGTCTTAAAACAGGAAGAAGAACAAAGGGGAATGAACGTGCTCTGCAGTGGGCTGGGGAGCAGGGCAGGCTGATCACGCTTCAAAAAGCACTGTTTCCTCTTCCTTCACTATACATCATGACTCTGGGAATTAAAGTTTGTGCTTTGAGCGACGTGTGTGTGTGCTTATGTGTGTATAAATTGTGTGCCTCCATGTGTGGATTTGTGTCCCTTTATATGTGTGTGTGTTTGAGCGGATCATTATCTGTTTGATGACCTGAGAGAATGAGGACTGTGGGTCTCAGAAGCCCATGTTCAGGTAGGCAGTTGCAGGAAGCAGAGATCTGCAAGCTGGGGCAGGAGTCCCAGCTCCACTGTCTTGTCAGATTTGACCATTAACCACCAGTTCTCAGGGTTGTATCTGGGCAAGAGGCTGAGGCTGGGGCAAGGCCGGTCACAGTGCAGCTGGGGGAGTACTCAGGGCAGAGTGTGACCCTGAAGTCCCAGAGGTGACCTCATGAGGACTGTATACTGGTAGGAGACCTAGAAAAAGAACGAAATGTCCTGTCCCTAAGCCCAAGCCCAACTTGACTAGTGTCCCTAAGCCGAAGTCCAATTTGACTTATTCTGCTGATCACCCCTGCCTTCCCCCAAGGCCAACAATGGCATTGGACTAGAGCAAACAAAATGATTCAGACTTTGGGAAATAGACTGTTCTGGATTCTGGTGTCTTCCAGATTGCCTGACTGGGGAAGAAAATGGAAAGGGTGGAGCACACTAGGGTTAGACCATTTGCTCAGGGAGGTGGCTTGGAGTTTCACACTGAAGAGATGAGAATGTGGAGCTGCTCTAAGGGAATGTCATACAATGAGGACGAGCTCTGTTCAGCCCTGGGGCTGCATGAAGAAGAAAAGCTGACCAGAAATCAGCCTCTCCCTCAGATGGGGTGAGGATGCTACCCCAACTTGGGACCCTCCTTAGTATCATCTATCCTGTCTTGCTCTCAGTCACTTTCAGCCCAAGGCTATAGTCCAGGTTGTAATCTTCGTGGCAACTTCATAAGGACCTTCATCCATAAGGACATGTATGGATGAAACCCTTTGGGCCCTGCTGGAGATCTGGATATCTGCAGCCTCAGATGGGCCGTGGATGGTCAGGGCCAGAGAAAGAGCAATTTCAGTCACTCTGAAGCCTGAAGAGTTGGTTTTCAGGGCTTCTTGATGAATTTATTTCCCAATTTCTATCCCATCTCCTAGAACTGAAGCTGGCGCTGAGTAGATACTCCACAAATCTTTGTTGAATGGTTTATTAGACTGTTCTTGCACTACTATAAAGAAATACCTGAGACTGGGAAATTTATAAAGAAAAGAGGTTTAATTGGCTTATGTTTCTGCAGGCTGTACAGGAAGCATAGTGGCATCTGCTTCTGGGGAGGCCTCAGGAAGCTTCCAATCATGGCGGAAGGCGAAGGCCAAGCAGGCACATCACATGGTGAGAATGGGAGCAAGGTCGGGGAGAAGGCGCCACACACTTTTAAATGACCAGATCTCATGAGAACTAACCATCTGAAGACAACACAAAGTCATGAGAGGTCTGCCCCCATAAGCCAGACACTTTCCACCAGGCCCCACCTCCAGCATTAGGGATTACAGTTCAACATGAGATTTGGTGGGGAACAATATACAAACTATAGCCAATGGATGGATCAAATAATATGTAAGAGTCAACTTCTCTGCCTTACTAAGCAGAGCCCGGACATCCCAGATGGTTTTTTGGTGATTTCTTAAAGAGCAGATTCCTAGATTTAACCATCATTAGGTAACATTAAAGAAGAGCATTAGTTATATCACCAAGGAGACTTTAGTTATAATATATGACCTTTTCATTTTGTGTCAAATCTGTTTTATTTGCTGGTAAACAAAATCACTGTATAGGAAATACTTTTTTATTATTGTGCAGTTCTTTTTACATGTGAATCCATAAAGATCATTTTTGCAACAGTCTTCGGGAATATGAAGGGTAGTGCAGTTTTTTTATTCCCATTTTACAGCTGAGCATGTTGAGGCTGAATGTATTCCTAAATCCATATAGCTGAGAAGGAACTGACTTGGGATTCCATACCTGGTGCCTTTCTATAGCCCCACAGGTTACTTTCTACTGGAGAAGCTGAGCCTTCAAAGTGTGCAACTTTCCTTTTGTTCTATCAAGTGAGAGGTGGTACTCAATCTGGTTTTCCTGGAAATGCTCTTACAAGCCAGATGCAGGCCCTGAACAACTCTGCAATTACCAGGGAGAGGATATAATTAGGGGAAAAAGCTGGGTGGGCTTTATTCTGGAAATCTCACTGGTGATGAACTCTATTATTAGCAGACAAGATGATGTGTGGGAAAGAAAAGAAGTTGGTTCTGGTCCCTGCTCAGTCCCTGACCCAGAGTCAGGGTGCACTCTATTCCCAGGGGTGCTCTCTGGATTCTGCGCCTAAGGCCATCTCTCTGTGAGCTCAGTGCGAAAGCTGCCAAGTGAAACACAGGCATCACGGTTCCAGTGATGACCACTCCCCACCCCCCAGGTCCCGATGGTGCCCCCAGTTTCCCCAAAACCAGGTCCTGGACAGTACTCCAACCCCACTGTGACCCTGTGCCGAGCTGGCCACCCCCGTGTCAATTGCTGGTGGTTATTTGCTGCTGGCGCTCAAAATGGGAAGCTTAGTTGCAGTCTTAGCATGGATGGCTATTTCACTTCTGATTTCCATCAAAATGCACTGACCTTTTCCATCTAGTTTCCCAACCTATAAAATTGGTGTTCGAGCAGCTGCTGTGTGGTGTTCTCATGGGGTTCGTGGGGGAAGAATAACACGAAATGAGCTGTTGCCCTCTGTGTCACATCGTCTTATGCATTCTTCAAAACTGCCCTACAAGGTAGAGCTCTTACCCCCATTTTATTTATTTATTTATTTATTTATTTATTTATTTATTTATTTATGAGATGGAGTTTTGCTCCTGTTGCCCAGGCTAGAGTACAATGGCGCAACCTCAGCTTACTGTAACCTCCACCTCCTGGGTTCAAGCAATTCTCCTGCCTCAGCCTCCCAAGTAGCTGGGATTAGAGGCACCCGCCACCGTGCCTGGCTAATTTTTTGTATTTAGTAGAGACAGGATTTCACCATGTTAGTCAGGCTGGTCTCAAACTCCTCACCTCAGGTGATCCACCCGCCTCGGCCTTCCAAAGTTCTGGGATTACAGGCATGAGCCACCGCGCCCGGCCTTCTTACCCCCATTTTATGGTGGAGAGATTTATACATGGAGGGATTTAGTAACCTGTGAGGAAGGAAAAAAGCCCCTGAGATTTGGAAGCTGGCCTTCCATTCACGGCTAGCCTGTGTTCTTGTCCTCCAGGACATAAACACCCTCACAGGGTGCTGACCTCAGACAAGGCTACGCTGAGACTATGATAAAATGAGACAAAGCAAGACCGTGTCATAATTTTTTCTAAGCACCGACAAAAACAATGTCAGTGTACCACAGCGAAATACCAAACACCCCCTCTTGGCCAAAATGAGTGACTGTTACTTCTTTTCCTGCTACAGCTGTATCCTTGTTGCCATCTCCCTTCCTTATAGATGTGATTTATTGAGACACTGCGTCACAGAATTGCCCCCAGTTTCTTACAGCTGCCAATTGAAAGTAAACTGCCACTTCCTTACTGATATGGTTTGGCCGTGTCCCCACCCAAATCTCAACTTGAATTGTACCTCTCAGAATTCCCATGGGTTGTGGGAGGGACCCAGGGGGAGGTAATTGAATTATGGGGGGCTGATCTTGCCTGTGCTATTCTTGTGGTAATGAATAAGTCTCATAAAATCTGATGGTTTTATCAGGGGTTTCCATTTTTGCTTCTTGCTCATTTTCTCTTGCCACCACCATGTAAGAAGTGCCTTTCACCTCCCACCATGATTCTGAGGCCTCCCCAGCCATGTGGAACTGCAAGTCCAATTGAACCTCTTTTTCTTCCCAGTCTCAGGTATGTCTTCATCAGCAGCGTGAAAATGGACTAATACACTTACCCTCCCCCCAAATCTCTCATACCAACCCCAATTCTATCATAGGTTTTGTCTAACTCCCTCTTACTAAGACACCCTGGTGTGTATTCTCTCTCACTGCAGTAATTAATAAACCTGGCTTATTCAACCACAAGTGTGTTCTTGGTGGTCTCTGCTGGAAGATGTTGGTTCTTGTCCAGGGTCCCACAGTTGAAGGATGAAGACTGGATTCAAACTCAGGAAGCAGGCTTTTCTGATTCCAGAATCCACATGGGACCTCCTGTCTAGGAGAGTGGAAAGAATGAGCAATCTCAGCACCACCAAATGCTCCAGCCCCCAAGGGAAGTTCCCAATCCATCCCCCAAAGGGAAGGTCAGAATTCCAGCATCCAGTCTCGGCCTTGGTTATGGTGTTACGTTTTGCACTTCCCGTGTGCTTGGAAGGGGTCCCAGCTAGGTAGCTTTCCACTTGTCAACTGAAAGAGGAGACAGAGAAATCTAAGCCCCCCTCATCTGTCATGTGGTCACAGCCCGTGGACAGGCCAGCAGCATGAAGATGCCCGCAGCCTGCACAGGGACTGTCCCACCCGCCCACGGCTCCACCCTCTCTGTGCCTGGCACATGGAGGATGCCATGTGTTCTGTCAGCAAGAGCAGCTGAAACCCCTTTCCCCAGTATTGTCCTTTTTCCTGATGACTTCTCTACAGCAGTATCCTTGATCCCAGCAGGACACTGGCCTGGGATTTAAGAAGATGAGTAGCTACTCTCTCAGACCCCCTGGGGCCCAACAGTCCATATACCTACTAGCTTTTGACCTAGACTTTGGCATAGCTCCCTTCTGGGAGTTCTGGCACAGGTACCAGGGGATCATCTTGCCTCTGTGGCTGTTGAGATAGCAACAATTACTATGGTCACCCATTACCAGCACTATTTACAAAAGATTGGACTGTGCCAGAGCGTGTTTTATACTTCTTTGATTTTTTAAAAACCCTATGAGGTGGATATTATTGCCATTTTACAAATGAAGAAACTGAGACTCAGAAAGTTTGGTATTAACCTAAACAGACACAGCAGGTAAGTGGCAGAGCCAAGATTTGAAGGCAGAGCTTTCTCCAAGTCACTCTACTTAGTCCTTCTCTCCAGGCCCAGGTGTCCTCCATGCACCTGGGAAGCTGCACAGGTCATTCAAGGTTGCAGTGGATGCTGGGCTGAGCTGAGACCCACACTCGGGATGGAAGGTCTTAATCTCCAGTTATGGAGACTGCTGCTGCTGCTGCTGCTGCTGGCCTCCCTGGGGACAGCTGCCTTACCCAAGGTTATGTCCCGCCTTAGGGGCAGCCTACCTGATCGAAGGGGAAGATGTAAAGGCCTGGTCCATGCTCCAGCTGGGGATAACTCTGAAGGGCCATCCCAGTTTCAGGGTTCCTCGTGGGCTCAGTGGAGGCCTGGTTGTGACTGCATCGCAGCCAGCCTCTCCATCTGCCTGATCCCACTGCCACCTTCTCCGTAGGCGTTCATCCCGAGGCTCTCTTTGGGAATCTTCCTGCACTCCGTTCTCTGCAGTCTGCTTCTGGGGAGCTCCACCTGCAACAAGAGTGTTTTTCAGAATTAGCTGGGGGCTTGCAGTTTTACCTACTGCAATGCCTGGCTTACAATGCCTAGAGGAAGGTGGTATCCCCAGCAGGCAGGACGGGCATTCCTGTGTCCTCAGCTTCAGTCATCATGGGCTGGAAGCAGACGAACTATTCAATGGGCTTTGGGCTCTGACCTGTTTAAAAGAATTTCTCTGCTGCAGATGTCCAGTTGAATACTTTTTAAGCCCAGAATTAGCCTTTTCTTAAAAAAAAAAAAATTTCAGGCCAGGCGCAGTGGCTCACGCCTGTAATCCCAGCACTTTGGGAGGCTGAGGGGGGCGGATCATGAGGTCAAAAGATCGAGACCATCCTGGCCAACATGATGAAACCCCGTCTCTACTAATAATACAAAAATTAGCTGGGCGTGGTGGTGCATGCCTGTAGTCCCAGCTACTTGGGAAGCTGAGGCAGGATAATCACTTGAACCTGGGAAGTGGAGGCTGGAGTGAGCCGAGATTGCGCCACTGCACTCCAGCCTGGCGACAGAGCAAGACTGAAAAAAAACAAAAAAAAACAAAAAAACAAAAAAAACAAAAAACAGCTGGTCTGAAGGTAGTGAGTTATCGCATTGATTGTTCACAGTCAGTTACAGACTGAACCCCTTGTTCTACACTTTTCCCCCTTCTCGCTACTGCACTTGACTAGTCTTACAAAACATTTAAAAATAAAAAATTTCGGGATTAGAGGGCCTGATAGTTCAAGTTTATTATTAAGGTAAATAAAGGATATCAACTTCTCTAGTTTAACCTCTAAAGCAAAATAAATCATTGACAAGACTTCCACTAGAGCAAATAGCATGGTAATTAAGATGCTATTACCTGATTTGACCAATTTATCATCTGTTTAGTTCTGCTACAGGCCAGTCTCTGTGCTAGGGGTTAGGGAGGCAGAGATGAAGGAGAGCATTTCTGCCTGTTGAGAAGTTCACCCTCTTGTAGGAGAGGTTGGCATAAACCAGTCATAATAAAAGTCTTAATGATAATAGTTTCGAGGGTCCAGACTCGGATTGAAAATGCTGAATGAAAAAAGAAAATAGTTGCCAAGTGTTGTGACTCATGCCAGAATCCCAGCTACTTGGGAGGCCAAGGTGGGAGGATTGCTTGAGGCCAAGAGTTTGAGGCTGCAGTGAGCTATGAGCCAGCCTAGATGACAGAGCAAGACCCTGTCTCTAAAAAAATTAAAAAGTGGCTGGGCGTGGTGGTTCACACCTGTAATCACGCCCAGCACTTTGGGAGGCCGAGGCAGGCAGATCACCTGAAGTTAGGAGTTCAAGACCAGCCTGGCCAACATGGTGAAACCCTGTCTCTACTAAAAATACAAAAAATTAGCCAGGCATGGTGGCAAGTTCCTATAATCCTAACTACTCGGGAGGCTGAGGCAGGAGAATCGCTTGAACTGGGGAGGCAGATGTTGCAGTGAGTGGAGATTGTGCCATTGCACTCCAGCCTGGGCAACAAGAGGGAAACTCCGTCTCAAAAAATAAAAGTAAATAAATAAATAAATAAAAGAAAAAAATAGTGAATATTGTATTTCCATACTTAGTTGAATGAAAATTATGAGCAGGCAAATAAGAAACGTGTCATCCCAAGCTCTTACAAAGAGCAGCAGGATGTGAGACTGTGTTAACCTTTCTGGCTGGCATCAGGCAGCCTCAGCTGTAACCTTGTGGTGTTGACGCTACCCAGGCCCTTTAGAAAAGGCTTCTTGAGCATGATTTTGTGTGAAAGTGGTCAAAGGGTTTGTCCCTTTCCGGTCACCCTGCCAACATCTTAAGAGTTACTGCTCTTAAAATATTAGTTGCCTGTAGCTCTTTTCTACTTAAATATCTGCAATGCTTCCCCTCTCATCCCATTGCCCTTTGGATGAAGTTCAACCTCTCTTCTTGCATCACTCCCCAGAAAGCTCTTTTTTGTGGTCCCATTGGGCCACTCCTCAGACCCTGAACTCAGGAGACCTTTCAAAGAAGTCCAGGTCTCCTTGCCTTCACTCCTGCTGGTCCCCTTTCCTGGAATTCCTTCTTCTCTTCTTTTGACCAGTCACTAGGCACAGCTTTCAGGCCAGCTAAAATTTCGTCTCCTCTACAAACTCTTCCCCGAACACTTCAACCTGAAGGGACCTCTCCTTTACCTTTCATGGGAAAATGAACCCCTGTGGCTCTGGTGGCCCTTCCTTCTGGTCTTGACCTGTCATTTTAATGTGTTCTGCCACCCGGTCTTCTAGGAGTCTACAATTCTCCCTAGCAGGACCTGTAATGAATGTGGCAGGGTCAAGTTTGGTGTCCAGAGGGTCATCCTAGAGGGTTGTTTGGGGACCAGCATTGCTTGCCCTCCTTGCTGACTTACAGGGAGGGACACAGCTAAAAACCAAGAGCTGCTCCCTTCATCTCTTTATCAAGACCTGGTAAATTGGCCTCCTCCAAATATTGAACAAAATCAATTCAACTACTTTGGGAAAGAGGTAGCATTTTTCACTGTTGAGAATAAATTAATCCTACTTCCTTTTCTTTTTAAGGAAAGCAATAAATCAAAAGAGAGGGAGAGAGAAGAAAAAAACAAAAACAAAAACAAAAAAAACCTGCCTCTCTGTAACCCTGTCTTACTCCCTGGGAACAGTGTAACCTGGCCTCAATCCCAAAAAGCAGAAGGAAAGTATTTTTCAAAATGTTAATGGCCCTGAAAATTTGAGTTCAGTTCCTTTCTTTCTCTTTTTTTTTTTTTTTTAAGATATAGTCGCACTCTGTGTTGCCCAGGCTGAAGGCACGATCTCAGCTCACTGCAACCTGTGTCTCCTGGTTTCAAGCGATTCTCCTGCTTCAGCCTCCCGAGTAGCTGGGATTACAGACATGTGCCACCACGCCTGGCTAATTTTTTAATTTTTAGTAGAGGGGATTTTGCCATGTTGGCCATGCTGGTCTGGAAATCCTGACCTCAAGTGATGCACCTGCCTCAGCCTCCCAAAGTGCCGGCATTACAGGTGTGAGACGCTGCACCCAGCCGAGTTCCATTTTTCTGAAAACTGAATTGGGATCCCTGCCTGTGTTTGTATGTTTATGTTTGTGTGTGAAGGTGCTGGCCTGTGCGTGGTATATGTCCCGATGTGTGTGTGTGTCCAGATGTCTGCTCACGTACTCTTACTCTTAATAAGTCTAAAACTGACCTGGAATGGTGCAACTAGAACTATAAGGGAACACCCAGGCCAGTCCTTCCCTGTATGGGGGAGGAAGCTGATCCACAGTGGAACAGGATTTATGAAGGGACACAGGAGGTCGGCTGCACCCCAACTCAAAATTTTCAAAACAGAGATGCAGCAACTCACAAGAGTACACTCTGTTCTCTGGCTCCCAAACTGCCAAGGGTGTGCCCTGGCAAGGGGTTCTCAGACACCCTCAGCCAGCCTCAGCCACAGGCAAGTCTCTGAACTAAATTGCTCCTTGGCCTTTGCTGCCTTAGCAAAAGCAGAAACCACAAGCCTTCCCCACCCAGCAGGGCCTAGAAGCCTGGCTCTGGCAACTTCTGGAAAGGCCTTCTGCTTGTCTGTCTGGGTACCAAGCTGAGACCCTGAATGAGGTTCATTCTTTTCTGGGGCTGCTCTTTTTCTCTCCTGTTAGTTCCTTGCTTTTCCAAGACAGCCAAGAGGAAACCAAAGTTCCCATTGCTGTGCAGAGTCTCTTGGCATTTTCTAAAGAGAACAGCCACCAGTCTTGGGGTGAGGGGATTTTAAATCAGCAGTTTACTGATGAAGAGTCAGGGGCTCAGGGGTGGAAAGTGACTTGCCTGGGCCTTGCTCTGTTGGCACCTCCAACCCCAGCTGGCCATGGAAACTTGGACTTCATGCAGGCAGGGTTCCAGAGGGCTGAGGAACCCACCATTTCTGCCTCTACCGGTCTCAGGGCCCGGGAAGATGATCCATGTAGGGGCAGTCAGTCAGAGATGGGGTGCACAGTTATTCTGGGATTTCCCCAGACTGCCCCTTGGGTTCCACAGATAGTAGCTGAGCACCCTCCCAGGGCTCAGTTGCTGTGTTAGGTGTCTGCACATGCACCATCTTATTCAACTGCCATGAAAGCCGAGCCCAGTGAGAGCATGCAATCTCTTCTATAGCAGAGGGAGCCAGGCTCCCGAGGGAGGCCAGGGATGGCACTGCTCACTTGTGGCCATGTCTGAGGGGCATGCTATGAGGACTATGCTACCCATCATGGCAGCAAAATAGAAAGATAATAACAAGCTGTTCGGATCTGATGAGAGTTGGAACTGGCGGGAAGTGAACCAGGTAAGGCCTGTGGCAAAGTCATCAGTGTGGCAAGGGTCAGAAGAGGTGTGGCCAGGCTCTGCAGATCACTTTGTATCCATCCTTGCCCCATCTGATTCCCGCATCCATTGGGAAGGACAAGTAGAGGGCCTGGCACTTAGGAGACGGGGCCAGGATAGAGCTGTGTGTGTTTAGGAAGAAAGCCGCAAGCTGGTATGGTCTATTATGGACTGAATGCTTGTGTCTTCCCAAAATTCATGTGTTGAAACCCTAACCCAAAATGTGATGGTATTAGGAGGTAAGGGCTTGGGGAGCTGATTTCACTTAGATGGAGTCATGAGGGCGAGTCCACCGTGATGGGATTAGTGTCCTTATAAGAAAAGGAAGAGACCAGAACACGCTCTCTCTACCACGTGAGGACACAGTGAGAAGGCAGCTCTCTCCCAGTCAGGATGACAGCCCTCACCAGAGCCCGGACATTCTGGCACCTGGATCTGAAACTTCCAGCCTCTGGAGAGGTGAGAAATAAATTTGTGTTGCTAAGCCACTCAGTCTATGCTATTTTGTTATGGAAGCCCCAGCTGTTTCTTTAATCTGAGCTCTAGGGGAACTGAGACAGTGGTGGGGGAATGTGTGCCCAGCAGTGGGGAGATGGAGCATGGGGAGGAGGGGGTGTGAAACAGACAGGGCTGGAGTGGGAGTCAGAATGCATCCAGACCCTTGCCTGGCTGCACCAACTTGCCATCTTCCTTCTACCTGGGCTGGGCGAGACAGGTAATGCCTTCAGAGAGCCTGCTTTGGAGGAAGCAGTGATTTCTGGGCCAGACATGCAGTTTAGTGTCCCAGTATGTAATTAGAGTGTGCAGAGTCATGGCAGCTGGGCCCGTGGTGGGCCTGGCACTGGGCTCTCTGTCTGTGGTCACAGCTAGCCTGTGTCTGGCCAGGCATAGGCTCAGCTGACCTCAGAGCTCCTTCCCTCCCCTCCTGAGAAGATGTGCGCTCTCACAGCTTTATTCCCAGGGAAGCTGAATTGCCAGAGTCTCCTGGGTGCATAGAGGGGTCAGACCTTCCCTCAGGCCCTTTACCTGAGAGCCTTCTCTTCAGCCCATGGCCCAGCACTCCCCTTTCTAATGAGCTGAATTTCTGCTGTGAGTCCTCGTAGCTGAAGGACCCGGGACCAGGGCCTCCTGATCACGATGGGTTTGGCCCCACATGGCATTGGAGTATTGACTTGGTCTCCAATGTGGAGACACGGAGGGAAGCACTTCCTGATAGGGTCATACAATAAGGATCCTGGGGTTGGGGGGTCATACAGCCTCTTGGGGAGGCCACTGTGAGATTTCTGACCAGAGTGAAACGAGGATCCTTCCAGCTAGAAAGCCTTGCATCCTGCGAGCTTCCTCTTTTAAGGGGCTCAGCAGAACTGATTTCCAAATTCTCATATCTGCAGCCCCAAGATGCTTTCTGCAGCCTCTAGAAGTCTGATCAGGCTGTTTAAATTTGCTTTTGGACAGCCAAATGGGAAGTGAGGAGGAGGAGGAGAAGAAGAAGAGAGAGGGGAATAGGAAAGGGGGATTATATGGAGCTAATATGGTGATATTTGAAAGATCTGGCCCAAATTTAGGGCCTGTGGACTCCTGGGCAGCCCCAGTTCTGTGTTTTCAAGGTGGTGGTTTAGATGCCCTATTTTATTTTTTTCCCTCCCCTCCCTTCCCCTTCCCTCCCCTCCCTCCATCCCTCCCTCTTTCTTTTCTTTTCTTTTCTTTTTTTCTTTCTTTCCTTTCTTGAAGGAGTCTCACTCTGTTGCCTAGGCTATAGTGCACTGGCACAATCTCGGCTCACTGCAATGTCCACCGCCTGGGTTCAAGCGATTCTCCTGCCTCAACCTCCCGAGTAGCTGGGATTACAGGTGCACTCCACCATGCCTGGCTAAGTTTTTGTATTTTTAGTAGAGACAGGGTTTCACCATGTTGGCCAGGCTGGTCTCGAACTCCTGACCTCAGGTGAGCCACACACCTCGGCCTCCCAAAGTGCTGGGATTATAGGCTTGAGCCACTGTGTCCTGCCTAGATGCCCCATTTTCTTGTATCTTTTATGAAATGAAAGACTTAAGAATTCAGGCATCTGGGCAAGGAACTGTGGCCCCTGAAGGCAGCCTCCCTCCTGCTCCTCTGCTCAGCCCTACAGCCAACCTAGCCTTCTCCATAAGCCCCACTTCTTTCCCCTGGAAGGGGAAGCTTGGCTCTGTTCCAGGGGCATACCCAGAGGGATGTCTCCAGCCCAGTAGAAGTGAGTCCACTGCGAGGATGAGCTTAATCAGATCTGAGAGCTTCTCCTTCAAGCCGCACAAGAAGTGTTGACAGATTTGGCAGCATTTAAAAATGCTTGTTGCAGCTTTTGATAAGGCAGGTAAGGGTGTCCCAACAGGCCTATCCAAACTATCCCCACCAGTGTTTTGTACAGCTAAGGAGACTGAGGCCTGGAGACATGAAGAGCTCTTCCCAGGTCACACATCAGAGTGAGAGCACCTTGGTCTGGAGATCCCTAGGTAGGATGTAGGGTTGTGGCTACTGAGGCCAGGATGAACCCTCCTCCATGGCTGCAGACCACCTCTTGGGTGTCTGGTTGGTCTCACTTGGCTTCTGGCCAAGCACATTCACAACAGCATCTCAAAGCCAGACTGTTGGCTCAGGGCCTCAACCTGTCTGGGTCCAGGCGCAAAGTTAACATGGGCTCTGCCTCTCCGTTCATCTGCTTTTGAGTGTGGCTTGTAGGTCACCCCATAACCTGGGGGTTCAGGCAAAATTCTGTTGCTGAAATGCAAAAGAGGCAGCACCGTTGGGGGATGGAGCCACTGGCAGTGCAGGGAAAAGGGCTCCTTGCCTGTTCTGTCATGGTCTTGCAGCCTGTGGTTCATCCTTTCAGTCCTCCGCGCCTTGGGATTTTCCATTTGCTTGGTGGAGAAGTTGAATGGAGCTAGCCCTGTGCTTCAGGGCTGCTCTCCTCCCCCTTCATCACTGTAGGCTTCCCAGGCAACCGTTTGACCAAACCTTGTGAGTCCTAGCCCCTCTTACTACTTTCTCTGATGATAACATTTGCAGGCCAAGGGGAAACCCAATTACTGTACCCTTTTGTCTTTTTTGAATTACTCCCTAATCCATCTATTAAAAAACAACCTCAAGCAGGATCCTAAATAAATGGGCTTTAATCAAGAGAATTATCAATGTGATTCATTCTCCCTCAGGGCAGAGATGCAAATTATCTTTCAGCAAAGGGCACAGCAACTTAACATACCCAGACTAAGAACAATGGCCATCCGTCCCCAGGAGAAGGCTAAAGCATTTAGTGTTAGTGCTCAGGGCTCTGACCCCATTAGAGACTTCTCCGCTGGAGTTCCCATAATGGTGACATCTTAACTGAAATGGAGAAGGGAAGGCACCCAGCGTGGCCAGGGGCCCAGCAGAGCTGGGTCAGGTGGTGACCCCTCCTCTTCATGGGGACAGCAGGGGCCGCCAGCCTCCGGAGCCCCTGAATATTTGCTCAACTGCTTCTTGCTCCCTGCTAAGTCAGTCGCATTCCAGATGCAGCAAGGAGGATGCCCCCAAGAACAGGGGCAGAGCACTTTCCTAGACTGCTGTGTCCTCCCTACAGTTGTGGGGGGTGGCCCATGGGTGTGAGGAGACAGGGGTCGGAGTGGGGGCGACACTCCTGCGATCAGCCCCAGTTTAAAGCCTCTGCAGGTGCTGACATACTCTACAACTGACTCATGGGCCAGGAATACAGACTCAAATCTGTTTTTCTTTCCTTCCTTAGGAAAAGGCTGTAATTGCTCCTCCTCAGCCCAACTTGGGAGAAGTCTGATTTCTTCCCCAGACTTGTCTGAATGCTCGCAGCCGCTGCCCTTCACCAGGGCCAGGACCGCTCAGGTCTCCGTTCCCTTCCAGCCCAAGGCAGCACCCACTGCACCCTCGTCTGCCCTGGGCCCTGCTTGCCAGAGGCCTGGAGTCCAAGGGACCTGAAGGGGCTGCAGTGGCCACGTTGTGAGCTGAGTTATGACTAAACCCTCCCAGAAACTTAGAACTTCCAAGGAGTGTAGAACCACTTGGCAATTTAAACCATTTCAGAACCAGAGAATTATAGAAAAGTAGAATCTTAGGTTTAGAAACGATCTTTAAGGTAATCTACCTTCTTTCCAGCACAGCAGCCTTGCCTGCCTTCTTTCCTTATCCACAGTCTCCTTGAGAAGAAGCTGGGCCTTGTGGGAAACTTCCCAGGGCTTCTTTCCTTCCTGGACCTCTGGGAGACCACACCTTTCAGTCCCTTTGCAGTTACGAGGGGCCGAGTGGCATTTCTGACCTGTGAGATAGGAGCAAAAGTAATGTTTGTCACAATTCTGAGCTGAGGCAGTGAAAGTCCCTGAGCCATTCCCCAGGGAAGAGGGAAGTCCCTCTTCCCTTTCGGGACTGATCACAGACAAGTGCCTGTGTTGAGACAGCAAAGCCCCAGATCAAAGCAGCCAGGCCCACCGAGGCACTGCAAGAAGACAGTGCCCTGGAGGGCTGCCCGAGTTGCAGCAGACTTTGCATGAGCAAGGGTTAAGCTTGTTGAGATTTGGGGGCTGTTTGTATAGTAGGACATTATAACCTAGCCTGTCCTGGAGAATATTCCCAGCCTACATTCCAGACGTCCAGGCATGGGAATTCACTATGGGTGAATGAGGCTGTTGGGTTCATTGCTTAGCAGCTGTCAGTTGGAAAGTTTGTTTTTTCCCTTTAACTGAAATCTGCTTCCTCACAACTCCCTTTTCTTTTTTCTTTTCTTTTTCTTTTTTTTTTTTTTTTGTTGGAGATGGAGTCTCGCTCTGTTGCCCAGGCTGGAGTGCAGTGGCACGATCTCAGCTCACTGCAGCCTCTGCTTCCCAGGTTCAAGCGATTCTCCTGCCTCAGCCTCCCGAGTAGCTGCTGGCACATGCTGCTATGCCCGGCTAATTTTTTGTATTTTAGTAGAGATGGGGTTTCACTATGTTGCCCAGGCTGGTCTCGAACTCCTAAGCTCAGACAATCTGCCTGCCTCAGCCTCCCAAAGTGCTAGGATTACAAGTGTGAGCCACCACACCCGGGCCACACCTCAAGTAGGTGAAGCCTTCTGTTCTCAAACTTGAACATGCACCTGCATCACCTGGAGGGCTTGTTAAACACAGTGTTCTAGGCTCCAGTTCCGGTTTCTGATATAGCAGGTGTTATGGACTGATTATATCTGCCCCCACCAATCCTGCCCAAAATTCATGTTTTGACATTTTAACCCCTAATGTGATGGTATTAGGATATGAGACCTCTGGGAGGTGGTCAGGTCATGAGGGTGGAGACTTCACCAATGGGATTAGTGCCCTTATGAAAGGGACCCCAGAGAGCTCTCTCACCCCCTTTCTGCCATGTGAGGTTACAATGAAAAGGCCATTTTCTGCAACCAAAAGAGGGCCCTCATCAGACACTAACCATGCTGGCACTCTGATCTCAGGCTACCAGCCTCCAGAACTGTAAAAATGAAATTTCTGTTGTTTTATAAGCCACCCACCCAGTCTATGGTACTTTTTTATAGCATCACAAACTAAGGTAGTAGGTTTGGGGCAGGACCTGGAAATTTGCATTTTTAGTTAAGTTCCCAGAGGATGCTGCTGCTGGAGGTGTGGAGGCCACGCTTCGAGAACAGCTACTTTCTATCTTCTGTTACATCTCTCCAGGAGCCTGCTAGCCCGTGCTGGTCATGGCTGCAGAGGTGCTGCCACCCTGCCAGGCCACACAGAGCAGAACCCCATGCTTTGATCCCTCCCAGGTTGGTCTGGGTTGGTCGGAGTCTGGTGCTGTTCCCTCCACAGACTGCGAGCCTCAGTGGGCAGGGCTTGCAATGTACTCATCCCTGTGGCCCTCAGTCTGACAGTGGTTGGCCACAGCAACAAGTATGTGCTCAGCGAATGTTTGTTGAGTGTGTGGATACCCAGAACAGGAGGAACACCTTGCCCACTTCTGAAATCTTTCACTGAACTTCAGACTCCTGGTACAGAGACCCCTGGGGAGCTCACACTGCGCACCCTGCAGGCATCAGGGCTGATGCTAGCTTCCAGGCATGTTGGAGACCGGATGGTGAATGGCGATGGGCTGCATCCTCTCTCCAGGAGGGCTAAGCCTGGGGGCCCGAGGTATGTGTGTGTGGGTGGTGCCCTGGCTATTCCCGTAAAGACCCAGCTTGGCAAGACCACTCTTGCTGTCGGATCTGCAGATGACTTCTCTTGTGCTTGTACGAGCCAACTCTGACTTCTGGGAAGGATCGTGCTGTCTTGATTGCTGCAAACACAGACAGGTTAGCTCATGCTTGGCTGCACTGCCAATGACGTGGGCTCCAGCTTCCTGGGGGGTCTGCTGGGCCAAGTCCTCAGGTTTTCTGCCTGAAATCAATTCATCACATCTCAAGGCACTGCCTCCTGTATCATGTGCCTGGCCAGATCTCAGAGCTCATAGCAATGAGGTAGCCAACACTGGGGACTGTGATCCATTCCTGCTGGGCTTGGGCCCTCAGAGAGCCTGGGCAAGCTATTGCCAGGAAGGGCCGTGCCAGGAGCAGCCAAGGACCTCTGATTGTTAGAATCAAGACTGTTAAAGTCAAGGCCAACTTTGGGGTGTCTTGCCCTATCCTGTGGAGAACACTGACCCTGCTGGAGGTCTATGACTTTCTTCCTCCTCCCACTTCTCCGCCGGCCCTCCCCCCTCCCTCCTCCTCCTCCTTCTCTTCCCTTTCCCCTCTCTTCCTTTTCTTCTTCCATCTTACAATTTTTATTATGAAAAGGATTAAACATACAGAAAATTGAGAGGATAACATAATAAACCCACAATACCCATCACCTGGATTTAATAATTGTTAACATTTTGCTGTATCTGCTTCATTGACTTTTTTTTTTGCTTGAGTATTTTAAAGAATATTACTGACACACGTTTTACCCTAAATACTTCAGTATGCGTCTCTAAAATGCAAAAACAGTTGTCTATATAAACATAATATCGTGATCATATCCATCAAAATTAACACTAATTCCTTAATATCATCTAATAGTCCGTATTAGTGTTTCTGCAATTGTTGCAAAAATGTCTTTTGTGATTGGTTTACTCAAACCAGAATCTAAACCAGATCCACATGTTGCATTAGCTCATTAGGTCCGTTCCCCTCCGCCTTCTTTTCACAGGTGTTGAAGGTCCCATTTATACTAGAAAGTCCTTCCCACTCCCTTTTCCCTGTGGTATAGATGGGTTGAGGAAGCCAGGCCAGTGTGCAGGTCTCCAAGTCCACGGAGGGGTGGATTCCCAGGCAGGGGTCTGAGAGAGAGGCCCAGCCTCCTCCTTCCCCAGGCTGAGGGAGTCGCAGGCAGGCATCACCCTGAAGAGACACAGGGCCATCCTGGAGAAACTGTTCCTCCTGGGAAGCCATGTGATGTGCAGAAGGGTAGGGGAAGATGGTACAGAACGAGAATAAAGACTTTGAGACACTTACAGTGACACCAGGTCACTCGGGGAGGGAAGAATCACAGGAGTCTCTAGGGAAGGATCTTTGAAGATGAAGGTCAATGACTCAGAGGCGGTCAGGGCCTTGGGTGCTCTGATCCCTCTGTGGGGGCTGGGCCTGGCCGTGGCCAGGCAGCCTTCTGCCCACACACTGTTCCCTTTGATGGGCGGCTGGACCCGCCCTTCCACTCTCTGAGGGCCCCCTCTCTGGTAGCAACTTCTCTTCTGCCTCCACTTGGGTAATGGGCTGTCATGCGGGCAGCTGCCGGGAGCAGCTGTGACATTATCCAGACCCCACCCCAGGGCCCCCTTGGGCTGCAGCTCTGGCTCAGGCTCCGCCTGGATCCTCTGCTCTGCTTATCCATCTCTTGGGCTGGCTTCCAGGCCTGTGGCTCTGGGCACACTCGCTGCAGACAGAACTTCCCGAGTCAGTCTCACCCCTCATGGTGAGGAGCAAGGTGTGCCTTGGGAAGAACTTGTCAAGCAGTGGTGTTAATGGGGAGATGGCATTTTTTTTCCTATTAAGTGAGAAAAATTAATTTAAAACTTGATAATATCCAGTGTTGGTAAGGGTTCAGGGTAAACAGTCCCTTACTCTCTTGGTAGAGTGTAAATTGGTCAGTCTTTTGGAAAATAAACTGACAACACCTATCAACATTAAAAATGCATGGCTTTTTATTCTTTTTTAATTATTATTATTATTATTATTTTAAGAAACACGGTCTCTCTCTGTTGCCCAGGCTGGAAGTTCATCGGCTGATTTTAGCTCACTGCAGCCTTGAATTCCTGGGCTCAAGTGATCCTCCCACCTCAGCCTCCTGAGTAGGTAGGACTATAAGCACGCACAACCACACTCAGCTAATTTTTTTTTTTTTTTTTTGAGACAGAGTCTTGCTCTGTTGTCGAGGCTGGAGTGCAGTGGTATTGGCTCACTACAACCTCTGTCTCCTGGGTTCAAGCGATCCTCCTGCCTCAGCCTCCCAAATGACTGGGATTACAGATGCCTGCCACCACACTTGGCTACTTTTTGTATTTCCAGTAGAGACGGGGTTTCACCATGTTGGCCAAACTGGTCTCAAACTCCTGACCTGAAGTGATCCACCCACCTCAGCCTCCCAAAGTGCTGCAATTACAAGCATGAGCCACCACACAAGCCCCAGCTAATCTTTGTAGAGGAATCTTGCAATGTTGTCCAGGCTGGTCTCGAATTCCTGGTCTTTGGCCTCAAATGACCCTCCTGTCTTGGCCTCTCAAAATGCTGGGATTACAGGTGTGAGCCACCATGCTGGCTTTTCTATCAATTTTTTCATTCAATAAGTATTGAATCCCTACTATGTGCCAGGAGCTATTCGAGGCATTGGGGATATAGCATTGAATTCAGACAGACAAGGTACCTGCTCTTGTGAAAATTATATTTTAGTGGGAAAAGTAGACAATAAATAAATAGAAAGTGTTATTTATAATAAATGCTATGAATAAAAATAAAATATAGTAAGGAGGTATAATGTAGAGTAAGTTGTACCTCCTTCAATCCTTGGGGCTGGGAATTCCATTTCTAGGAAACTCTTACAGAAATGTTTCCACATTTGCACAAAGGCACACACACATTCATAAGAGCAAGAAGTTGCAAACACCCTAGATGCTTAACAGGAGAGGAGCTGGCAAATGAATTGTCCATCCACACAAATGGATAATATGCAGCCATTAAAAACAATGAGGCAGCTCAACTTGTGCCAACAAGGAAGGCTCTCAAAGACATGTTAAACAGAAGCAACATGTCTTAGAGTAGCATATGGCGCAGGATCCAAATAAGTAAAGTAATACTTACATTTCTCTGTACACACATAGAAAAAGGTCTAGAGGCCCGGTGCGGTGGCTCATGCCTGTAATCCCAGCACTTTGGGAGGCCAAGGCGGGTGGATCACCTGAGGTCAAGAGTTCGAGACCAGCCTGGCCAACATGGTGAAACCCCATCTCCACTAAAAATACAAAATTAGCTGGGCATGGTGGTGGGTGCCTGTAATTCCAGCTACTCAGGAGGCGGAGGCAGGAGAATTGCTTGAACCTGGGAGGCAGAGGTTGCAGTGAGCCGAGATTGCGCCATTGCACTCCAGCCTGGACAAAAAGAGCGAAACTCCATCTCAATAAAAAAAAAAGGAAAAAGAAAAAGGTCTAGAATGACTGAACACTAAATTATTTATGGTGATCTCTTCTGTAAGGAAGAGGAAGCAGGTTTGTTGCAAAATGGTCATTGCAGAATGGTACTTTCACTTTTTACTCAAAATTCTTCTGTATTGTTTGAAGTCTTTTTTTCTAAATACCACTAACATATATTTATGCATTCCATGGATTAAGTAAAAAGAAAAACACAAAAACCACAGCCTCAGAAATAGACACTCCACATCATAGCACAGATGCTTTTCCTTGGGGGTTTGAGATCTTAATCAAAGATGTTAAATGGATTCTTGGGTTTGTCAAATTGACTCTGACCTGCAGCTTTTGGTCCTGAGGGAGTAAGTGAAATGAAACGAGCCTTTCCTCCCTAAATTCAGCCTCGGCTGGCCCCAAATCACAGAGTTGAAAGAGGTCAAGTAAGGGATGAGGAAAGAAAGAATTGCTTTTCCTGAACCAGTGCAGGGCCAGGAGTGTAGCTGCCTCTGCAGGGAAGGTGATCCTACCATCATTTGGAGATGAGGAAATGGAGGTTCAGAAAATCAAGCAGCTTGTCCAAGGTCACAGGGCTGCTGAGAGACAGAGTCAAAGTTTGAAACCATATCTGTTGATCCCCAAAGTTCAGGCTCTTTTCTTGTGGATGGTGATGGCCTGGGTCACACTTCATAATAGTACTGCCCTCCTTGGAGGATCCAGCAGTGCCCTGCTTCTGTTAGAATTGCAAATGAGAACCCTCCGACCAGACTGAGCATTGGCCTGCCCCACTCCAGGGCCAAAGAGATTACCACCTTCTGGGGCTCTAGTCTGACCCTTGTTCCTCAGCTGAGGCCCCTCACAGCCTGGGGAATGAGGGCCCTGAAATTGTGTCTCTCCTATAGCAGAGAAATAATAATACAATACTCATAGGTAAACTATAAAATAATAATAATAATAATAATGCAGAACAGTAATAATAGCTAATGTAGTACTAGGCATTGCTCTAAACTTTCTAAATATCCATCCATCTAATCGTTTAACTATTCTAGTACTAGTAACATTGCCCCCTTTAGATGAGAAAACTGATGCACAAAGCATTTAACTAACTGGCCCAAAGTCACACAGCTAGAAAGGGACAGAACCAAGATCCAAAATCCATTAATCTTCATTTTTTTTTTTTTTTTTGCTCTGCTGCCCAGGCTGGAGTGTAGTGGCACAATGTCAGTGACATGATCACAGCTCACTGCAGCCTCGACCTCCTGGGTTTGAACAATCCTCCCGCCTCAGCCTCCCGAGTAGCTGAGACTTCAGGTACATGCCACCATACCCAGCTAAGTTTTGTATTTTTTGTAGATATGAGGTTTCACCATGTTACCCAGGCTGGTCTCAAACTCCTGAGCGCAAGCAATCCCCCAGCCTCGGCCTCCTGAAGTGCTGGTATTACAGGCACGAGCCACTGCACCTGGCCCAATTTTTTGTTTTGTTTGTTTTCTGGCTACTTATCCCCAAGTTCTAAGAGCCTGTGCACTTGATTTCTGTCTAACTCCCCCAAAGCAAGTTAGCACTTGTGGTACTTACCATGCGCTGGACATTGTTAAAAGTATTAGATTAGTGCAAAAATAATTGCGGTTTTTGACATTACTTTAAAATATATTAATATACTAAATATTAATTGTTCTGAGACAAATTTAAGAAGTAGAGGAGCTCCCTTATTACCTTTAAAAGTCTCATTTTAAAGATAGGGAGTCTAAGCACAGAAAAGCCAAATCACTGTCTGAGGTCACACAGCGTTTACATAAATGGCAGAGGTAGAATTTGAACCCACGCATACTGACTCTAGAGTTTATACTCATAAACATTTACTATATTAACAGAGAGGCTCTGAGATTCCAATGCCCTCATTATACATTCCCTGTTTCTAGAGAAGAGCCCAAGAATCCCCAAGGGGCATTTTGGCATTCACTGGAGCAAGAACAACTGGTCATCCCTGATTCCTACTCTTCTGTTGTTGAGGAGCTAGTCGTTGCCTGGTGACTCACTGTGCTGGGAGGGACAGACTAGCCTTTACTGTCCAGCTAATGTCCCTGGTGGCATGCCACCACCCTCCAGGTGTGGGGGTGGCTGAGCTCCAGGATGAGTGAGTCCACTCTGGGTTTGGGGTGGGGCAGTGGTGTGGGGGCAGAGACGTTCAGGGGACAGACTACACGGAGCCCCTCTCCCACTTTCTACCTCATTAGGATGAAAAGACAAAAGCAATTCCAAGCAAATGTAGCAGAAGTTGTCCCCCTAGTTCTGCTCATGTCCTGGCAAAGAGTGCGGACTGAGCCTGCTGACTCATGGCACTCTAGTTCAGGTCTCCCACTAGAAGACAAAGCAGGGTCAGGGCACACAGTGTTGCCCTCAGGACACCATGAAGCTCAAGGAAGCCTGGAGCGGTGGCTGGCTGAGGAGCAGGCCGCTGCTAGGCAGCTTTGTGCGTTTCGTGACTTTGCTGGAAATGCATCAAACGCTTGGCAAAAACACTTCCTCCTCCAGTGACAGGCACTCACGTTTCAGAAGGCATCAAATTGCTCTGAAAGGTGACAATAGCACCTGTCAACTTCTGCACATAGAACACTGTTTTCTACTGCAAGAATGTTTTTCTTGATCTTCTGGAACTGTATAGACTGCAGACCAAGCATCATCCATGTCCTGAAGCCCAGCTGGGTGGCGGATGGGACATGGGAGGGCAGGACAATGTCTGCAGAGGTGGTGGAGAGCACGGGGGAGCGGTGCCTTCTCAGCACTCCATTTGCCGGGTGGGGTAGGAGGGGAGGGTGAGGGTTCTGGGACATTCTTGAGCCCCAGGCACAGCTGCGAAGGGCAGTAGCTGCAGAGCCCCCGCATGGGGCTGAGCGTGGCCTCTCCTTCCTTGGGCTGAGTGGACAACCTCCTGCTCCCTCAGCTATATTGCTGGCTGGGGTTGGCAGAGGCCAGGCACTCAGTCCTCATCCACAGCGAGGTGTGAGTAAGTGGAGAGGGGGAAGCTGGCTTCCAAGGTGAAGAACAACGGGGACAGAAGTGCAGAGGCGGCGTGGTGCCTGGTGCTTTCGGGGGACTGAAAAGAGGACACGTTTATTATTTTGATGCATTTGTGACTTAAGCTGAACTCCTTCCTATGGGCAATGCTGCTGAAATAGGGGATGTGTGTAGGGCAGCTGTGGCAAAAGTGAATGCTGAGGAAGTCGGGAAGGGCTTTGAGCTAGGTTGGGACAGGAGCAGGAGGTGAGTCCACCTGCAGGGTGGAGGAAAGCTGGATGGGCGTGCACACTGGGGGCTGACCAGTGGCCCGGGGAGGCCGTTATGGGCTGAACAAGGAACAGAGTGGAGAGAGTGGAGGGAATGGAAAGGGGGACGCAGCAGGAGCCCCAGTGAATCTGAGAATCTAGGGTGTGCTGCTCCCCTCAGCCTGAGCTCAACAAAATGCTCCAGGCTTTCCCCTCCCCTGTTAGGAGCTTGGTGGACCCCCACGTCTGGCTTATGCTCTATTGCAGTGACAAGAGGCCTAGTGGAAATGACTGTTGGGTGTAGAAATGGTGACGATACTTCCTACTGGATGCCCTGAAGATTGGGGAAGATGGAGCATCACCCGAGTGAGTCATTGCCGGGCCATGATGCCAAGATGGGTCCTCCCCAACAGCTACTGCTCCTGGCTCTCCCCAGGTGCCCCCCAGAAGTCCTGTTGCAGGCCACCTGCCACAGCAGCTCTTGAGTCTGCCACTGGTTTAGGTGCTGGAACCTCAAGGGCCAGAGCCCTTCTCTGTCCCCTTGTCCCATTTTCCCCAGGGTCCTACTATCTCTACATTTAGGCCTAGACCACTGCCATAGGGTACATGAATGGATGCCAGAGAAGAGAAACCCCACTCATTCTTCCCTGACAGGTGACCCACTGTTCCCAAGGATAAATCCAGGGCATTTTTAATATACTTTCTTGCTAAGGTAGCAAAACACAAGTTAAATATCTTTAACAGCTGATTCTGATGGGCAGCCTTTTAGCAGGAAACCCAAAGATGGTGCCTGAATGCAGTGGCTTACGAATGTTACCCTCCCAACTCCCATTAATGGAGCACTTACTGTGGGCCGGGAATGGTATTGGCACATCTAATTGTGTGTGTGTGTGTGTGTGTGTGTGTGTGTGTGTGATCTTGTTCTTTTTACAAATTGAGATGTAATTCAATACCATAAAACTCACCCTTTTAAAGTGTACAATTCTGGTTTTAAAATATATTCACATGGTTGTGCTATCACCAGCAGTAATTCCAGAACTTTCCCATCACTCCTAAAAAGGAACCCTGTACCCATGAGCAGTCACACCTCGCTCACTCCTCCCTCATTCCTGGAAATCGCTAATCTACTTTCGGTCTCTATGGATTTGCGTATTCTGGATATTTCATATAAATAGTATCATACAGTGTATGGTCTTTTGTTTTCCACATAATTAAAATTTAGTTCGCGTAATGTTTTCAAGGTTCTTCCACATTATAGCATCTATCACTTCTTCATTCCTCTTTGTGGCTGGGTAATAGTCCATTGTATGGATATACACATTTTGTTTATCCATTCATCAATTGATGGAAATTTTGGGCTGTTTCTACTTTGGGGCAATTATCAATAATACTACTATGAATATTCTGTTTTTGTGTGAACATATGTTTTCAGTTCTGTGGTGTATATCCTTAGGAGTAAAATTGCTGCCTCACATGGTAACTTTATGGTTAACTTTTTAAATAACTGCCAAACTGTTCTTGGTAGCCATGCACCATTTTACTTTTCAGCCAGCAATGCACCAAGGTTCTAATTTCTCTACATCCTCACCAACATTTGTTATTTTTCTTTTTTTTAAATTACAGCCATCCTAGTAGGAGTGAAATGACATTTAATCTTTATAACTACCTTATGAATAAAATGCTATTATTATCCTCATATTACAGATAACAAAATAGAAGTGAAAAGAAATTAATTTGTCAGAGATCACACTTTTAACACATTTCAAATGCTAGACTTTAGGGAGGGGGTAGGGCCACATATTACTTCCCTCTGTCACTTAGGTATCACCCAGCCCACCTCCTGGAAGCACTAGCTGGGTCCAGGAATTCCTCCTCTGGTGCAGTTCAGATCTTGGGGACACTCACACATCTCCTTGGGAGGAGTGGCGGGGCATGGGGATCTGGGTTTGTCCATAGAGCACTTGCAAACTGGATGAGGCTGTAGGCCCTGCAGGATTTGCCAACATTCCTACTGGAAGTAGAGAACACACTGAAGAGTGCCTGACAACAGCTCCCAGCTTCCAGAAGCCAGCTAGGCTGCATCATTATTGCAGTTCGAGAAGCTCAGATACAAATAGAACCAGGTGCAGGGAGAGGTGGGTGTGCAAGAAGGCATACCAAGCAAACCAGATTTCCCAGCACTCCTGCCTACTGCCTTGTCCCTCAATAAAGTAGTTGGTGAGGGGTCTCTAGGGCTCTGGGGAACAGCTCAGCCTCCAGGACTGACATTTCCAAAGATCAGTACCCCCAGACTCCAGCAGAGTGCTTGACAAGGGCCTGGTAGACCAAACTGAGGGGAGGCTGAGCAAGGTCCTTCACCCTGGGGCCCACCTCTGTTCAGCAGCAGTCACCCCACATCTAGTCCAGGAATTTTGCTACCCTGGAAATAGCTGTGATAGCCCATTGGAAGCCCATGTCCAGGGAGCCAGGGCAGGCAGGACCTCTCCTTGGATGATGAGGAGGAAGCAGAGCCGGAGATCCAGCACTGCCCTTGCCTTGCCTTTGCAAAGTCATGGCCTCTTGGGTGGACAGACATCCAGGACACAAATGGTTACCTGCAAAGTGGAAGGTGGTTTGTGTCAAGGGGCTGTGGACAGGCAGAGGGGCAGAGGTTTTGATTGAGGGTGGGAAGAAAAAGAGATAAGGAACGCTTTCTGGGGTAGGTATCATTGGAGATAGGCCTTGGAGGATGCGAAGGATTTTAACAGGTGAGAGTCGTGGCCACTCCGTTCCCTTTGCCTAGCATGGGCATCAGACCAAAGGGCACAGGTGAGCAGACCCCCAGGGGCAGGAAGGAATGGGGAGGCTACGAGTCCAAGAAGAACTGATGATGCATAAATGGCACAAAGGAATATAGATCTCGTCCTCTAGGAGACTGGAAACGGGACCCAGGGGAGATTTTAAATGGGGGAGTAACAGATTTGTATTTAAAATCCCACTGATTGCAGCAAAGAGACTGGATTGGATTGGAAGTGGGGAAAGTGAAAACAAAAGGCAATTAAAATGGTGCAGGGAGAAATGATGACTTGAACTAAAGGAGCGGGAATAAAAGAGTAAAGGAGAGAAATGTGAGAACACTGGGGAAGGGGGTAGAATTCATAGAATTTTGTGATTTGTGGGAAGATCGAGACCATCCTGTTAACACGGTGAAACCCTGTCTCTACTGAAAATACAAAAAAATGGCCTGGTGTGGTGGTGCGTGCCTGTAGTCCCAGCCACTTGAGAGGCTGAGGCAGAAGAATTGTTTGAACCCGGGAGGCTGAGGTTGCAGTGAGCCGAGATTGCACCACTGCACTCCAGCCTGGGTGACAGAGTGAGACCCAGGCTCACTCAAAAAAAAAAAAAAAAAAAGAAAAGAAAGAATTTTGTGATTTATCTTTATTAGTAGGCATGTGTGCATGCAACTGGGTGTGTCCAAGAAGGGAGTCAGAGAGGAGGCTGAAATACCCTGAGGGAATTGCCAGTATTCCCTAGGGATGGAAAGCTATGACCACAAATAAGAAAGCTGGAGGTGAGGTGGGGGCTGGATTAAAGGGAGATGGAATTCAGACAGGGATCTGCTGAGTTTTAGGTGCTTCTTTGCTAGCCTTGGGCAGCGAGATACACTTACCTGCTATACACTGCCCAGGAAGAATCCCTGGTACTGCAGTGTGGATGGGGTCTCCAGCTTCTAGGCATGGACACGTTTGGAAAGGTGAGAAAACGTGAGAAAACAACAGTGGGCCCAGGGGACCGGTGCTCAGCATACCAAGGTCCTGCACCGGCACCGGTCTCTGAGTTCCCTCAGTTTTTATTGGTTATTATCTTCATTATTTCAGCAAAAAGGAATGTAGTAGGAGGGCAGGGTGATAATAAGGAGAAGGTCAGCAACAAACATGTGAGCAATAGAATCTACGTCATAATGAAGTTCAAGGGAAGGTACTATGCCTGGATGTGCACGTAAGCCAGATTTATGTTTCTCTCTACCCAAATATCTTAGCAGAGTAAAGAATACCAAGGCAGCATTGCTGCAAACATGTCTTTCCTCCCACCATAGGGCGATTTTTCTCCTATCTCAGAATTGAACAAATGTACAGTCGGGTTTTATACCGAGACATTCAGTTCCCAGGGGCAGGCAGGAGACAGTGGCCTTCCTCTATCTCACCTGCAAGAGGCTTTCCTCTTTGACTAATCCACCTCAGCACAGACCCTTTACGGGTGTCGGGCTGGGGGACGGTCAGGTCTTTCTCATCTCACGAGGCCATATTTCAGACTATCACATGGGGAGAAACCTTGGACAATACCCCGCTTTCAAAGGCAGAGGTCCCTGTGGCTTTCCGCAGTGCATTGTGCCCCTGGTTTATTGAGACTAGAGAATGGCGATGACTTTTACCATGTATACTGCTTGTAAACATTTTGTTAACAAGGCACGTCCTGCACAGCCCTAGATCCCTTAAACCTTGATTTCATACAACATATGTTTTTGTGAGCTCCAGATTGGGTCAAAGTGGTCGGGTCAAACTGGCTGGGGCAAAGCTACAAATTAACAACATCTCAGCAAAACAATTGTTCAAAGTACAGGTCTTTTTCAAAATGGAGTCTTTTATGTCTTTCCTTTCTACATAGACACAGTAACAGTCTGATCTCTCTTTCTTTTCCCTACAATGATCATGAGTCACACATGCACATCTGTTGTTACAACATTCTATCAGATGCCAGATCACCCTCCTTCCATCACGTCACAAGCTGTAAGACCCGACTTGCGTAAGCAATCTCCTGGGCTTTTTGAGGGTTAAGTATTATGTTTATTGCAGCACCTATGCTTTTCTATTTTTTATTTTATTTTATTTTATTTTTGAGTCAGAGTCTTGCTCTGTTGCCCAGGCTGGAGTGCAGTGGTGCCATCTCGGCTCACTGCAAGCCCTGCCTCCCGGGTTCACACCATTCTCCTGCCTCAGTCTCCCAAGTAGCTGGGACTACAGGTGACTGCCACAACGCCCGAATAATTTTTCTTTTTTTCGTATTTTTTAGTAGAGACGGAGTTTCACCATGTTAGCCAGGATGGTGTCGATCTCCTGACCTCGTGATCCTCCCGCCTCAGCCTTCCAAAGTGCTGGGATTATAGGCGTGAGCCACCACGCCCGGCTGCAGCACCTACGCTTTTCTTAACCACTTAACATGTGTAAAACTGCACTGCCTCTTTTATTAGCACTTCTCTCTCTTTTTCAAATGTGTCACTGATGAAGTTTTCAAGCGTTGTTCCCCTAACTCCATTTTCCCATAAGCCTCATGGTTCCTATTGTGGAATTTTGCATAGTGCAAGGAATTTTAGGAACACACATGTTGTGTTATAGCAGAACTGATGGTACTCCCTTTTCCTTGATTTGTCTTATAAAGGTTTTGTTATTGGAATTACAGCTTGTTTGTTAGAATTGAGATTCAAAAGTATACTGTGATTAGTTGCTATATCTCTTAAATATTCCTCTCTCTCTTTCTCTGTCTCTCTCTCTCTGGTATATAAATATTTAAAGACACTAAGTGGTATGTCCTGTAGGGTTTCTTAGAGTCTAGATTTTGATTATTGTCTCCCATGGTGTCCTTTAACCATGCTATTCCCTGCGTTTCTTTTAAACCGGTACGTAGTAAGATTAGAGACTTGATCAGACTCAGGTTCTATGTTTATGACAAGACTGCATTATAGGGGGTGCTCAGATGGTACATAACACCTGCCTGTCCCTCTTTTCATGGAGTTAACATTACTGTTGATTCTTATCTTTATTATTTCATTTATTAGGGGGTGCAAAATGGTGACATGCTAGTTCTACCATTCCTTCTTCATTTATTAGTCAGAATAGTTCTAAAATGAATTTTTTTCTTATTTATGATCTGAATATCTTGAGGTCCAATTCATACAGGAGAGGCAGAATAAATGCTTGTTTCCCATTATTTTTCAGTTTTTCAAGTAATGAGTAGTTTTCTTGAATCTTCCAAAAGTGACCAATAAAGTTTTGTTTCGTTCAATATCATTATAAACTCATGAATTTAAGTATGTTTGATGCACTTTAATCCATTGTGGTTCTTTTTCTTTTTCTTTTCTTTCTTTTCTTTTTTTTCTTTTTTTTTGGTGAGACAGAGTTTCACTCTTGTTGCCCAGGCTGGAGTGCAATGGCGCAACCTTGGCTCACTACAACCTTTGCCTCCTGGGTTCAAGTGATTCTCCTGCCTCAGCCTCCCAAGTAGCTGAGATTATAGGTGCCCGCCACCATGCCCGGCTAATTTTTGTATTTTCGTAGAGACGGGGTTTCACCATCTGGTCTCTACTAAAGAGACCAGGCTTGTGTTTGGAAAGACCATTACAGGCTGGCCTCAAACTCCTGACCTCAGGTGATCTACCCACCTCGGCCTCCCAAAGTGCTGGGGTTATAGGCGTGAGCCACCACGCCCGGCCCATTGTGGTTATTTTTATATTTATCCTCAAATTGCCCCATTTTTAGCTGGTGGAAGCTTATTGAAATTAGTTCTTCAGTCCTTCTGACATTATCCCAGTAGTCTTCAGCTTTAGTATAACAAGAAGTTTTAGGCTCTTGTACATTTCCTTCCTTGGACTTGGACTCAGTCATTTCTCCAAGGAGTCCTGGTTCCTGTCACTGGGAAATGCTATTCAGAGGCCACAATCTAGGTGTCTTAGCTCAGGATGCCATAACAAAATACCACACCAGGTGACTTAAACCACAGAAATTTACTTCTTCTAGTTCTAGAGTCTGGGAAGTTCAAGAGCAAAGTACCAGCCTGGTAGGTTTCATTCTGAGGCTTCTTCTCTTGGCTTGTGGGTGGCTGCCATCTCACTGTGTGTTCATATGACCTCTTCTTTGTGGACAGAGAGAATGAGCCCTTTGGTGTCTCTTCTTATAAGGTCACTAATCCCTTTATGAGGGCTCTGCCTTCATGACCTCATCTAACCCAAAGTAATTACCCCCCAAAGGCCCCATCTCCAAATACAATCACATTAGGGGCCAGGGCTTCAACATATGAATTTTAGGGGGACCCAAACATTTAGACCAGAACATTAGGTATATTTACATCTCTCCTTTCTTAGCTAGACAGTAGCACCTATAAACATTCTGTGCCTGGCTTTTTTCACGTAACCATGAGCCAGCAGATTACTCACTAGCAGTAAATAAAGGTGGTCCTATTCCTAGTTACAGCTGCATAATACTCCAGTTCGTAGATGTGCATTCAACTAGTCCCTTATTGATGAATAACTGAGTTGATGCTTGTCCTTCCCTATTACAAATTATCCTGCAATGGATAGTGTTATACATGTGTCTTTTTGTTTGTTTTATTTTGTTTTGAGGTGGAGTCTCACTCTGTCACCCAGGCTGGAGTGCAATGGTGCAATCTCAGCTCACTGTAACCTCCACCTCCTGGGTTCAAGTGGTTCTCCTGCCTCAGCCTCCTGAGTAGCTGGGATTACAGGCACCTGCCACTGCACCTGGCTAATTTTTGTGTTTTTAGTAGAGATGGGGTTTCACCATGTTGTCCAGGCTGGTCATGAACTCCTGACCTCAGGTGATCTACCCACCTCGGGTTACGGCGTGAGCCACTGCGCCCAGCCCATGTGTCTTTCTGTATCTTTGCCAGTCAGTGTACCTTTGGAATAGATTCCTAAAAATGGAATTGTTGGGACAAAAGATAATGCATATGCGGTTTTCCTGGATATTATCTTTCATGGGGTTGTGACATTTTTCATTATTACCAGCCACATATAAAGATACTGTAGCCTGTTCAAAAGTGTGTGATGTCAAACCTTTAGATTTTGGCTAATGTCTTTATAGGTGAAAAATAGTATTTCAGAGTAGTTTCAGTGAGCATCTCTCCTGTTACGGGTAAGTTGAAGTAGGTTTTTATATGTTTAAGGCCCTTTTTGCCCATTTTTAAGTGGGATTGTTTGTTCTTCTCTAATTTTTAGAAGCTCCTATTCATTAGGGATATTAACCTTTGTCTTTTATATGTTCCATACATCTTTCCTACTTTTTAATTTATTTTTAAATACTATTTATGGTAGTTTTTATTATTTGAAAGTTAAAACAACTTTTTTTTGTAAAGTGTATGGCTTCATAACTTAGACTGCAAAGATGCCTTCAGGGGGCCTGAGTCCCATCATTTTTGCGGGGTTTTGAGTGTCAACCGATACATGCATTTTTCTGGACAGTCCTTTTTTTTTTAATTTGAGTCTTATCACTTAAGAGATTATGTTTAGATTCTCAAAATCTAAGTGCCTTGCTCCTAGGCTTTGGCGGGCACCTGACCCCTGCCATTTCAGACCTCAGTGTCTCCGCTGAAGAGCAAGTCCTGGGCAGAGTGCTCTTTAAGCCCCTCTCAGCCCTGACTTGGGTTTAATCCAGAGTCAGGACCTGCCTAGGTCTTCCCTGCAACAACCACTCTGCCAAATCTAACTCTTCTCCGGTGCTGCTCTCACTGGCTAAATTTAGGATAAATTTTCACCGATTATCGCCCAGAACAGCGGTGGATGAATCTGGAGCTTTTGCGTTGGGAAAAGTCTCCTTGGGTTATCCAAGAACATTGCCAGGCATTCAAAGTCAACCAGGGGCCTAGTAAATGAAGGCATACCCAAATTACTGCCCCAGAATGGAGAGGATTTGGGCTCAGGAATAAAATAGCCAGCAGGGGTTAATGAATAATTAGACATTAATTGTTTGTGAGTAGAAACTAATTAAACTTCACTTGGATGGGAGAAGGGCCAAGCTGCCTGTGTTATGCCTCAGAGCAGCTGGAATGAGCTGTTCTTGCTCCAGGACCAACCTTACCAGCACCAGGGGGAGTAGCAGAGATGACTAATTAAGAGTTTTTTAAAAGTCTCTACAATGTAGCTGAGTCCCCAAATCCAAAGTCCCAGTAGACAGAGCAATCCACAAATGCTTGAATTGCCCTTCCGTTTGCCCTTCACTTAGGGCTGCTTTGGTGGCTGTCTAGGGAGAAGCAGGTCTGGGATTCCAGGATCACAGTGAGGGATCAGGCTGTTTAGACATAAGCCGTTGTTGAGAGTCCCCAGAGTCCAAACCCAACAGGCCTTTGGCATTCCCTGCAGAGCACACGGAGCTGGGAGTCCCCCGGTGATGGAAGGCCTCTTCTGGAACCCGAGCCTCTGGCATAGTTAGCTACTAGTGGGTTTGGGGTCTGGGCTGAGGCTACCTGGGGCCGAGTTGACCACTTAGATGCTCTTCTTAGCGCTCAGTGGGGAGTAGGCATTCGAGAAGAAAATGGGGACTATTGTCCAGCCGGGGATGTAGGGCAGGGCACAGAGTGGCCACCCAGCAGAGGTTCGTGGATGAATGTGAGGTGGGGTTGTGTTGTGCGTGGAGGCGCTCCACTGGTCTAGGGGTGGGCAAAGAGCCCTTAGACTCGACAACAAAAGCGAAACATTGATAAAGTGAACCTCGTCACAATGAAAACTGTGACAGACCTTGTTAAAATGGTGAAAAGACAAACTGCAAACTGGGAGAAAGTGTTTGCAAGCCACTTGTCCAACAAAGGACTACTGTCTAGAATATAGAAAGAACTCTTAAATTTCAACAGGTAAAAAACCCCCAAACAGTCCAATTAGAAAATGGATAAAAAACATTTGAGACAAGAGGATATGGAGATGGAAAATAAGCACATGAAAAGACGTCCGTCATCATTAGCCGTCCAGGAAATGTAAATCAAAACCACAGAGGCATCACCACAGTCCCATCAGAATGGCTCAAATGACACACAGTGATAATATAGTCACAGGACTAGAAAACCACAGCTGTCGTGAAGTCAAGACTGAAAGGATCCAGTCCAGAGAGTAGACTCTTTCCTGTCCATAGGGGCCTGTCTGGATGGCCTTGGCCACCCGTTGTGGCCTCCAGCAACTCCACCACCCACAGTGTGGAGTGGCCAGGATCAGGCTGCCCTCAATCCAGTTACAGAGCCAAGCTCCCTGCTCTGCCTCTCTGGACAACTGAGGATAAGCTGCTACTAAATCAGTTTATTTTGAACTTCCAGTCTGGTGACCTAGTCCAGGGTTTTATGGAAGCTGAGAGATTGCTTGCTTTTGTCTCAGTTTCCATTTATGCTATTTATGAAACAAATCATACAATTTTAAACAGACAGATAAAAGTTTTAAACTAATTTATCTTTTAAACTATTTTCAATTCAGTAAAATAACAGCAACTACTATTTATAGGCTAATCTCTGTGCCAGGCTCCATGCTAAGCACTTTATGTGCATTACCTAACTGAATTTTTACAACACCCTTGTGAGTGTTAGATTTTTCCCTTTTTACAGATGGAGAAATGGGTTCAGAGAGGTTAAGTAACTTGCCTGAGGTCACACAGCTAGTAAGTTGCAAAACAAAGATATGAATCCAGCCACACCTTACTCCAAAGCCTCTACACCCTAGTGCCTCTCAAAAAATGATGGAGTTTCTGAAGTTGGGTGGTTCCCACCTGGAACTCCCAAATGTCATTGTTACTAACTCAGGATGGTCTTATTGCTAGAATAAACAACCTCACATCTCAGTGGTTAACACATTATTCCGTTGGTTGGAACTTAATTGCATGGACCCCATCTAACTGTGGAGGAGGGTGGGAAACGTTGTCCCACTGTGTGCCCAGAAAATAAGGATTGGTTAACAAGGCTGGGCGTGGTGGCTCACGCCTATAATCGCAGCACTCTGGGAGGCCGAGGCTGGTAGATCACCTGAGGTCAGGAGTTTGAGACCAGCCTGGCCAAAACAGTGAAACACTGTTTCTACTAAAAGTACAACAACAACATCAACAAAATTAGCTGGGTGTGGTGGCACACACCTGTAATCCCAGCTACTCAGGAGGCTAACGCAGGAGAATCGCTTGAACCTGGGAGGCAGAGGTTACAGTGAGCTGAGATTGTGCCACTGCACTCTAGCCTGAGTGACAGAACAAGACTCCGTCTCAAAAAAAAAAAAAAAAAAAAAAAAACAGAATTGGTTAACAAATGACAATGTCTCAGCCAAGTTCACCTCCAGTGATTTTTTGTTTGTTTGTTTTGGTTTTGAGATGGAGTCTCACTCTGTCACCAGGCTGGAGTACAGCGGTGCTCACTTGGCTCACTGCAACCTCCGCCTCCTGGGTTCAAGCGATTCTCCCGCCTCAGCTTCGCGAATAGCTGAGACTACACTGGCGCAACCATGCCCAGTTAATTTTTGTATTTTTATTTTTAAAATACAAAATATTTTTATTTTGTATTTTTAGTAGAGATGGGGTTTCACCATGTTGGCCAGGATGGTCTCGATCTATTGACCTCGTGATCCGCCTGCCTCGGCCTCCCAAGGTGTTGGGATTATAGGTGTGAGCCACCACGCCCGGCCCACCTCCAGTGATTTTTTACATAAACTCCTTCCCAAAGTCAAGGTTAGCATGGTCTGACCAAGGCGTAAACCAGCCAATTTTTGTGCAATGCCATGAACAGAAAAAACACTTTCTCTTCTTAGTAGGGCCAAGGGCAAGGCACCATGCTCTCTGATGATATTTAGATAATAAATTTTGAGTCCCCTTTGTCCTCTGAATCCTTTCTTGTCCTTATGCAGAGAAGCTTTTGCTGGCCAGGCTGGACTGGAGGCTGGCCAGGGGCATGAGAGAAGCCTCTTCCCACCTGGGAGCTGCACCATGCAGACCCAAACATCTTCCTGATGGAGCCACTCCCCCTTACCCACTGGCATAGTGCCTTTGAGCTCCTTGCTTGACTTTGCCAGGCCAAGCAGGTGGCATTGCCCTGACCTCACAGACCAGAAAGGATCATGTGAGAGTGGTCTGGAGTAGCTGGGCAGTGTCCTGGGCCTCACCAGGTACCCACCATGCCCTCCGCACCAGGCCCTGCCTGGAGCCTGACCCCAGGCCAAGAACACTCATGAGGACACACTGAGCAAAGGCCTCCCACAGCACAGACAGAGGTTCGGTGAGTCTTTACTGCTGCCTCTCCTGCCTTCGCCTCTCTGACCTGCCAAGTCAGCCCATGACATAGACAACTCAAACGCACAGAGACAGCAGGAATTTGCACTAATTCAGTTAAGCACTTAGCCTATCAAGTGGCAGCAAATGCCTGGACTAAATCCCTCTGTGGAATGGAGCAGGACTGCTGCCCTCAGGTCCCCGTCGTTGGTCTTTGCAAGCTGGGAGGAGCCCTCCCACTATCATACCTGCCCCAGTGCAAGGGTGTATATTAGAAATGATGATCTGTCTTGGAGGATTATATATTTTATTGGGCATGTTGTGGGCAGGGCTGGCCCTGCCATGGACTCTTTGTGACTGTGGGTGCGCCCTTTCTGAGCTTCAGGTCTCAGTTTCCTCACCTGTCAAACGAGAATGAATCATGTATGGTCTTTCTGCCTTGCAAGTTTGTTGTGGGATAATTTGGGGGAGGAGGAATTTTGAAAAGAAACCAACACATCCAGGCAGAAGGCTCCCAGCCATAGTCGTGCTTGTGGCAGACTATAGGACAGATGAGCCAACCTTCATTCCCATCGTTTCCCCTCCCACACCCTGCTCTCAGGGCTGGAGAGGCAGCAGTCTCACTTTCTTAGCCTCTTGTGTAGTGCAGGTGGGGGTGGCCACGTGGCACGGCTCCGGCCAATGAGACGTAACAGGGAGTGAGCTGGCGGCTCCTGGGAGGACTTAGCTCTTCTCATTAAAAAAAAAAAAAAAGGGAAAGCCCGGGCGAGGTGGCTCACATCTATAATCCCAGCAATTTGGGAGGCTAGTCAGGAGGGCTGCTTGAGCCCAGCTCAGCCTGGTTTGAGATCAGCCTGGGCAACATGGTGAAAACCTGTCTCTATTTTAAAAATACGAAAATTAGCCGGGCATGCTAGCACACGCCTGTAGTCTTAGCTACTTGGCTACTCGGAAAGTTGAGGTGGGAGGATCCCTTGAGCCTGGGAGGTTGAGGCTGCAGAGAGCTGTGATGGGGCCACTGCACTCCAGCCTGGGTGACAGAGCGAGACCCTGTCTCAAAAAACAAACAAACAAACAAAAACTGAAAAAGAGCAAAGGGGGCTAACCTGGCTCTTGTCCCTTCCTGCCATTTCCTGCCTGGAATTCTGAAGATGTGCCAGGAGCTGAGGTGGCATCTTGGCCCCACCCTGATCCAGTACGACCTTATCTTAATTACATCTACAAGGACTCTATTTCAAAGAAGGCTCTGTTCTGAGGTTCTGGGTAGATGTGAATTTGGGTCGGGGCGGATGCTATTTAACCCACTACATGCCTCATTCCAAAGAAGGCCATGTTCTGACCTAATTACCTCTGCAAAGACCCTTTTCCAAAGAAGGCCTTGTCCTGAGGTTCTGGGTAGATGTGAATCTGGGTAGGGGGGATGCTATTTAACCCACTATATGCCTCATTCCCCAAATCTAATCCATCAGCAAGTTCTGTTAACCTTACCTCCTAAATACGCTCCAGACCTGGTCACTTCTCACCACATCAATTCAACCATCCCACGCTGAAGTCCTGTCACTGTTCACCCCACTCACCAGCCTCCACCAGCCTCCTAAAGGGCCTCTCTGTTTTGATTCTGCACCCCCATACAACCCCCCTCAACTCCCCTCCATGTTCATGTTCCGTTCAGCCTCCAGAGTTAGCTTATTAAAAAGATTAATTCCCATTGAACAATCCTCCTGAATAAAACCTGCCAGTGGCTTCTCATTGCTTTTAAAACAAAATGCAAAATCTTTTCATGGCTAGTAGGCCTACCCCGCTCCCTTTCTGACCTCTCACCTCTGACCTTATCTCCTCCTGTTCTCCCCGGTTCCCTTCTGCTCCTCAGTCCTGCCAAGCTTCTTAGTGTCTTGGGGTCTTTGCACTTGCTATTCTCTGTGCCCCAGATCTGTATGCAGTGGGGGCCTACGTCTCATTTAGGCTACCTCTCAAAGGTCATCTCTTAAGAGGGGTCTGCTTTGATTACCCAGGTCGGAAGCACCCTCCAAACCTGCCCCCCAGTCCCTCTCTACCGTGTCACCCTGCTTAGTTTTCCTCACACTGCTGCCTGCTGCCTGATCTGTCTGACGGTATTCATTTCTCTGTAGACTTGGCTCTGACAACTCCCACCGAGTGACAGTTGCACAGGGGACACCTGCCTGTCTTGTTCACTGCTGTGTCCCTAGTCCCTGGAACAGGGCCTGGCACATCGTAGGTGCTTTAGGTTAGGTTATTTCATGAATGAGTAAGTGGGTAGAGTTACGGGGCACAGGGGAGAGTCTACAGGGCTGGGGCGCACAATTCTAAATCGGGCAAGAGCCCCTTAGCCCACCGCCTGTGGATGCAGGAGGGAGGGCCGGTGAACCGCCCTCCCCATTGCTGTGTCTTTCTGCCTCTCACTTTCTCTCAGGCCCCATGTCCACAGTCTGTTCTGCCTTTTTAAGAACAATGAGTCAATAGGCCCAACTTGCTGTGCAGGGAATTACGTTCAGCTGGTGTAATTTCCCCCTTACCTAGAGAGAAAGGCCAGCATGAAGGTGCAACCGTGAGGACCGTTCAGTTGCATGGGAGAGGAGAGGAGCACATGGGGAAGAAGAACCAGGGTGGCTGGGAGTGGACAGGATGCCCCCAGTTTCCAGCCCCTGCCTCTGGGGCATGTGTGTGAGGCTCAGCTGGCAGCCACCACAGGCATGGCGGATGCATGGCTATGTCCTGTGTGGCTCACTTACCAGGAGCAAGCTGTCTACCCAGGAATGGCCTCTCCCCTCCACCCCGAGTGGTCAGAGCCGGCCTCTCACTGAGCCCCCAAAGCTGACAGGGTCCCCTGGATCATCAGGCCTTGACTACTCAACCCAGAGACTGCTACCCCAAAGTGGGGCTTCTGGGCCCTACGGCCCCCCTCACCACCCCAACTCCGCCATGGCGGGAGCTGCCATTAGAGATTTGCAGCTCTATCCCCTCAGGGCTCCCGTTCTTCTACCACAGCCACCAGGAGCCACGCTGAAAGCCATCATGTCCCGAGGGTGACCTGGGCTGCATGCTCTGCCTGGACCTTCCCAAAGGCATAAGCCTCAGAGCTGAACAAACATGGAATCAAGATCTGAAATGTGGCTGGGCGCGGTGGCTCACGCCTGTAATCCCAGCACGTTTGGAGGCTGAGGCGGGCGGATCACCTGAGGGCAGGAGTTTGAGACCAGCCTGACCAACATGGTGAGACCCTGTCTCTACTAAAAGTGCAAAAATTAGCTGGGTGTGGTGGTGCGCACCTGTAATCCCAGCTACTCGGGAGGGTGAGGCACAAGAATCCCTTGAACCCAGCACGTGGAGGTTGCAGTGAGCCGAGATTGCACCACTGCACTCCAGCCTGGGTGACAGAGGGCGACTCCACCTCAAAAAAAAAAAAAAAAAAAAAAAAAGAAAGATCTGAAATGTAAATGCCACCGTTTTATCAGATTAAGCATCATCCCATCCTATTGAGGGTCTTTTTTTCTTCACACAATTTCCTCCCCGTTTCCCCAAACAACACTATGTTGGTTTCTGTTTCTCCTGCACTTGGCCTCCTTCCCTCCCCACCACTCCCACCCTGCTATCTGTGCTGCCTCGACAGCTTCCCAGTGGGTCTCCCAGGGTCACGCGGCCCCCTCCACTCTGCATTCCTCATTGCCTGCCTTGGAGTGATCTTTCTTCCACACATCTCACCAACCCTCACTCAAAACCCTTTTGTGGGCTGGGCACAGTGGCTCACGCCTATAATCCCAGCACTTTGGGAGACCGAGGCGGGTGGATCACTTGAGGTCAGGAGTTCAAGACCAGCCTGACCAACATGGTGAAACCCTGTCTCTACTAAAAATACAAAAATTAGCCTGGCATATTGGCGGGTGCCTGTAATCCCAGCTACTGAGGAGGCTAAGGCAGGAGAATTGCTTAAACCCGGGAGGTGGAGGTTGCAGTGAGCTGAGATCGCTCCACTGCACTCCAGTCTGGGTGACAGAGCAAGACTCCATCTCAAAACAAACAAACAACAACAAAAAAAACCTTTTTGTGGCTCCCACTTACCTGCTGAAAAAGTTCAGACCCGTTAGCTGAGAACTCAAGGTTCTCTATAATCTCCCCCATTTATCCGTCCGTCCTCATTGTTGTCTCCCAGTTCCCTGTGCCCCAGCCACAGCAGACTTTTCATGCTCTCCAACGCCTGGGGACATTGCCAGCCTCAGGACCCTTTGCCCATACCATCCCTTCTACCTGCTGTGACTGTGTTGTGGCTTGAACTGTGTTCCCCTCAAAAGACCTGTTGGGATCCTAATCCCTGGTACCTGTGACAGTGACTTTATTTGCAAATAGAGTTTTTGCAGATATAATCAAGTTAAAATGAGGTTGTACCAGTTGGGGTGGGCCCTAAATTTAATGACGAATGACCTATAAGACAGCCATGTAAAGACACAGGGACCCAGAGATGCACAGGGAGAAGGCCATGTGAAAACAGAGGCCGAGGCTGGGGTGATGCCCTCAAGCCAAGGACACCAAGGGCTGCCAGAAAGCTCCAGAAGCAAGGAGAGGGACATGAAGCGGGTGCTCCCCCAGACCCTCCAGAAAGGACTGGCCTGGATGACACATTGCCTTTGGACTTCTGACTGTGAGGCGGCACCTTTCTGTTGCTGCAAGCCACCAAGTTTGTGGTGGTTTGTTGTGGCAGCCACAGGACACAGGCAGCCTGGCACCTGGATGCCACCCACAAACGCGTCGCCTGAACACAGCCTGCCCTTCCTCTGCATCCAGTCCCTTTCCACCTCCTCCCTGACACCTTGCTTCGTGTTTCCTGAGAGCTGTGTGCTCCTGCTGAGGTACTTCTCTCTGACACCTGTTTTCTAGCTCTCCATGTAGCCGTCTGGCCCCACCACTGGAAGCCCCTTCAGGTCTGAGTTCCCTGGGGCTGGTTTGGTTTTCTCTATAGTCAAGCTTGAGGTGGGTAATCAGGACAGCCCCCAGCCAACCCAAGGACGGTGACTGCTCCATCAGGAAGCACCACCTATTCCATTAGCAAATATATATCGAGCACCCAGTGTGCATGAGGCATTCTTCTAGGTCCTGTAAACAGAGCCATGAACACACTGGGGGCCTCACAGAGCACATGCTCCAGGGGGAAAGATGGTCTACACCTATCACATGGCACTGCCACAAAGGACTCAAGAAGAGCAGTTCAAGGGCACAGATAGTCCTGTTGGGGGAGCATTCCTATTAGGAGGAAAAAAAACTCATTACACAGACCTCCGCATAGATGATGGCCCAATTGGGGTCAGTCTGGGGACAGAAGACAGCATGAGTCAGCCACACTTCAGCCATCTGAAAAATTCTCTGTGCTCCCCTGTTGCAGACAGAGAAACTGAGGCAGGGGAGTGCTGCTGTTTTTTTCAGGGTATCTCAGCCAGGCAGGGGCTAGGACTGGGAGTCAAATTGGAAGCCCCTCCCGCTTCTGACTTCATCCCTCTGGTTTCCTGTTGAGCCCTCTGGAATGCATGTTTCCCTGCAGTGACGCATAGTCAGGGAAGGCAGGCGCTGGGGCCGTGCCCTGACTGAGTGTGAGGTAAGGGCTCTGTATTAGTCAGTTTTCACACTACTGATAAAGCCCAAGACTGGGTAATTTATAAACAAAAAGAGGTTTAATGGACTCACAGGTGTACGTGGCTGGGGAGGTCTCACAATCATGGCAGAAGGCGAAAGGCATGTCTTACATGGCGGCAGACAAGAGAAGAGAATGAGAGCCAAGTGAAAGGGGAAACTCCTTATAAAACCATCAGATCTTGAGAGACTTATTCACTACCATGAGAACAGTACGGGGGAAACTGCATGTTTTCAGCTCTCTCTCACCGGGTGCCTTCCACAACACGTAGGGACTATGGAAGCTACAATTCAAGATGAGATTTGGGTGGGGACACAGCCAAACCATAGCAGACTCCTTTCTGCTGTTCCCCTCCCTGGTCATGTGACTCACATGCCCTGCAGTGAATCCTAACAGCAGCATGAGAGCACAGCAGCCAGAATCCCCCCGGGTTGGACACCCTGTGATGGCAAGGTTAAGGGGTCACCCGACAGTCAGAGAGGAAAAGAGCAGGTGAGTGTCTCAGATGCGCACACACCCAGCCACCTGTTGGGAGTGGACATGAGCAGGGTTGGGCGGGAGAGGTAGTGTGTGAAGGTGTCCCCAAGTATCCTCTGCCTGGAGCCAGGCAAGAAAGGTAAGAAGTCACGTGTCTTCCAAGAGTGGCACCAGATGGAGGCCTTTCCTGTTTGAAATTGACTGGGTTTTAGGCGGCTCTGGAGCTTCTTCTTTGCTCAGCTGATGGCAAAGCTCTTGGAAGCTTGATGGTGGGACAAAGCTTAGAAGCAGTTAGAAGTGCTAACCAGGCACGGGGGGTTCAGAGGTGGCGGGCACACTGGGAAGTGCCACGGAGAGGCTTTGAAACTGGGCAGGCTAGTCAGTGCATGGACTGATTCAGCCCAGCAAGTATTGATTAAGCACCTGCCATCTACCTGGCACTGTGGGTTTACAGTGTGGGAGCAGGGCAGAGGGAAGTGCCAGCACATCCCTGCAGAGGGATGAAGAGGTGGCAGTGGTGAGGTTAGATAGCTCGAGCCCAGTGCAGATGAAGATGGTGAGAGCAGAGTCTGTGCACCCTCAGCCCATAGCAGCGAGAATCCTGCTGGTTGTGTACAAAGAGGCCAATACACCCGTAGGCCACAGGAACCTAACTCTAACTTATTAGAGTGGGAGCAGGCCCTTCTCCTACTCAGTTTCAAGGATGGTCCTTCCTGGAGCCAGAGGACTGTCGGAAATGACTGTGTGGGTCCTTCCAACCTGGGGAGTCTGTGATTCTAAAAACAGGCAAACAACCTCAATCTCCCTGGATCTCTGCCTTCCCACCCCCAGCCCCCTCTTCCTTAGACAAAGGGCTCTTGGAGGGATCTGAGGCTCATTTCATAGAAAGCTGAAAATAATATGAAGTAGAGTTTCTATTTTAGAGGGTAACACTTACATAAGGTGGGATCTTTCAAAATGTTCAATCTGATACCTATTTAGGGAAACATCAAACAGCCCCACAAACACAGCTCGGGGGAGGAGGCCACTCTGTTCTCCTCCGCATCCCCAGCTGGCTGAAGTGGTCTGTGGAGCTGCGGGGCATCTTAGATGTGCCTCCTGGCATGAGCAGGTGCCATGGGCTGGCTTCCTCAGCCAGGCAAGCCTGTCATCCTGCTCACTGCCTGTCCCCTGCATGGGTCAGAATCAGGGTGCTTGCTGGAGACCCCAGAAGGGCTGGGCACCCCCAGAGATACTGCAGGTGCCCCATGGAGGAAGAAAGCCTCCAGGTCGTGTGAACCTGGGACCTCAATCCAGGTCTTTTGGCACTCAGACCTCAAGCACTTTTGTTTGTGCCACATGGTTCTTGAGAGTTAATAAATAAAGGGCGGGGGAGCGGGAAGGAATGTCCTAAAGGCTTACTTGGTTAAATCTTTACCTACTTCCATTACCAGGCTCAACTTTGAAATTTCAGAAGGAAAGGAAGAGATGAAAAGAAAAATGTCACATTTCAAATCCTTCCCACAGTGACTCATTTCAGAAGTGGGGTTTCGTCCTTTTTAAAAACAGAATCAATACCGTCTTTCATGAAAACAGCTTTTGTTTCCCCTTCAGCTGCAAGCCTGACCGATCCTTCTTGGCTCAGTGCAGAGCCAGAGAAGGAGGCCAATGAGCAGCTCTCATTGCGGGCCTGGCAGGAACACCAGGGCAGGGCAGGGCGGGAGGGTGGGGAGTGCTGTTTGGAGGGAAAGAAGCTAGAGAGACCCTCTGCCTTCTTCAGGAAAGGCCTTCACTGTTAACACCCCCATTCCCACCAGCTTCTAGGCCCTCACCCCACCCAGTAAAGCCAAACATCAAGCAGGGGACTGTGGACGCCACTCATTTTCCTAGAGCATCCTGGTCAGTGGATTTTAGAATGGTCCCAGCACCCCAGAAACATTTGGGTCTCTCCTCCTCACCCCCATATGGGGGTCAATCAGTGGACAGCCTAGGCACCTGCTTATGGGGTACTTTATTTAAATGCCTTAATAATTGTTACTTTTTGTTCTTTTGTTTTTTGGATGGAGAGACTCAAACATCTGTGCTCTGCATGCCACCCCTTTAACAGTTTAATACACTTATACTTTAAGTATGTGTACATTTGGAGCACTTACCTTGGACTTGGACAATTAAACACACTTAGGTTCATTTATTATGTATTTCTTTATTTTTATTTTTTTGAGACGAAGTCTCACTCTGTCACCCAGGCTGGAGTGCAGTGGTGTAATCTAGGCTCACTGCAACCTCCGCCTCCTAGGTTCAAGCGGTCCTCCTGCCTCAGTCTCTGGAGTAGCTGGGACTACAGGCATGCCCCATGACGCCCAGCTAATTTTTTTTTTTTTGCATTTTTAGTAGAGGCAGGGTTTCACCATGTTGGCTAGGCTGGTCTCGAACTGCTGACCTCAGGCGATCCACCCACCTCGGCCTCCCAAAGTGTTGGGATTACAGGCGTAAGCCACCGTGCCTGGCCTATTTATTTCCCTGATTACCTCTAATAATTTTACAGAAGTCGAGATACAAAGCTCCAAAGGGACACTCCATTCTAGGCCTCCATCCATGAGCATCCTCTACTACATTATTGAAGAGCTAAAGTTTGAGTTGAGTGTTTGAAGATGAAAAAAAGTTTTTTAGACAGACAAGGATGTGAGTGTTGTGGGGATGGGAACAGCTTGTGCAAAGGTGCATTAGAACCAACAAGCATGGCCTACTCAGAATTCAGCAATTGATTCAAGCTTGCAGCGGGGACAGGGAGCACGTGGAGTGGCAGGGTTCTGTTGGAGTGGCAAAGGGTGGATTGTGCTGGGGCTTGTAAGCTACACTGAGAAGACCAGGCTATCCTGGGAAGAATGGGAGTTTTTGAAATGATTTAAGAGTGAAATGAACTTCTGAGATCAACATTTTACAAGGAATCTTAGGTCTTCTGCCTTGGAGCACCATTAACAATGGTCCCCTTTCTCCAAAGACTAAAATGTTTCTCAGATCATAAGGGGGACAATGAGTATCCAATGGCAAACGATGCTGCTATGATTTGAGTAATGGTCTCTCCTCCAAAATTGATATTGGCACTTAATCCCTGATGCAACAGTATTAAGGTTTGTGGCCTCTAGGAGGTAATTAAATCATGAGGGCTGTGCCTTCATGAATGGCATTAACACCCTTGTAAAAGGACTTGAGGTTGAAGGGAGTCTCTTCCACCATCTTCCTTCCATGTGAGGACACAGCAACTAGGCACCATCTTGAAAACAGAGAGCTTCCTCACCTCTCTGTTGGTGCCTTGATCTTGGACTTCCCAGCCTCCACAACTATAAGAAATAAATTTCTGTTCTTTACACATTACTCAGCCTAAGGTGTTTTGTTAAAGCAGTAAAAACAGACTAAGACAGATGCCTTATCCTCACTGATCCCCATGGCAGGAGAACCCCTATCCTGGCCTGTGCCCATGGAAGAGCCTGGTGTGATGGGCCAATTAAGCAACTGCCACAGAGAGGGAGCCCTGCCTGAACCCCCTTTGTTGACTGCTGCAGCCAAGTATACCATCTCAGTAAAGAGGGGCTCAAGAATGGTCTCAGATGTGGGCAGGCCCAGGGAGAAGGAGCTGTCCCCATTCTTGAACCATTGTCAGGTTGGCCATTGAGTTGGGCTGAGTTTGGACTTGGCCAGGATGGAAAGTGAGGAAGAGGAGAATGGACAAAGAAAAGTGGCCCTGGATATTAGATGGTGGGGCCTGGGGGTTGACAATTCCTGTCTCCTGGGGTAGCGCAGTGCTGGCCACAAACAGGGCATCTGGTGAAAGTTTGCTGATTGACAGATAGGGCGGGCTCCTGCTCCCTCCACCTAAGCCTTGTGTCTCTGAGAACCCCCTGGAGGAGAGGACACAGCTCTGCACCTCCTGTGGCTGGAGGGCTTTGTACCTGGAAGTCACCTTGGCAGGAAGCCTTTCTGCCTCCCTCCTCATCCCGCTTCCTGCTATGATGCCCACTCATTCAGCTTTGCTTTTTTCCCATTTCCTGCTGCCAGGACTGTTCCATGTTTCACTAGAAGGGAAACATTATTGTCCTTTCCACTTCTTACCCCTTCCACCAATTTTCTTTTTAGGTAATAAATTTGTTCCTTAATGAGCTTCCTCAGGATCCAGCCAGGCCCCAGTCAAGGCCTGTCTCTGCCTTGGCACCTCAGGCACAGTCCTGGAGAAGCCAGGACCAGACCCCTCCCCAGGGATCAGCAGCAGCCTCCACCGGGACTCGGAATGTATTAGGCCATTATCCCACCAAAGATGGAAGCCCAAGCCCATGTCCTCTCTTCCCCAGGGTTCAGAACAAGCCCAGCAACACTGTAAGTAGCAACTGCACTAGCAACAATGCCCTCTGGTTAAAGCCATGCAGATAGCACAGGAAATCGGAATGGCAGGGGCTTTCAAGATCAAAGTCAGTTGGATCTTTTTTAGGGGAAGGGCGGATCGGGTTTTGAAAGGATTCAGAGATGGAGGAATTAATCCTGCCGTTATTTTGCAGACACCAGTTCTTTCACGGTGGGCCAGTGGCACCGTATAATCCAAGATGAGGCTGCTGCCCTGAATGCAGAGAAAGCCTCGTTTCCTTGCGTTAAACCCCACATGGGATGCTGTCCCTCTCCCACAGGGATGGGGCAGGCTTGGTGGGATAGCACTTGGAAAGAGCGCATCTCATGCCCGCCACGTGGCAAATGGTCAGTGACCCCCTAACAGTGATGCTGTGACCAGTAGCTTCCTACCCAAGGGGAGGCCAGAGCCTGATGTCCCCTCTTGCCCGTGGAACAACTCGAGGCCAAGTTCTGATCCTGATATCACTGTTTGGGGACAAAAGTCAACTATTCACTCCACTGGAAGATGTGGTTCACTCCACAGTCTCTGGGATACGTCAGACCAGCATAAGATGCCGTTGAGGAACAAGCCAACATAGCAAGGCTGCAACTACCACAGAGATAGCAAGGAGACAGGTCATATGGGAAGAGGATGGCCTTGGTGGGAGGTAGATCTGAGTTCCAACTCTGGCTCTGCCACTTAAAGCTGTGCCACCTTGTGCAAATCTCTTCACTTCTCTGAGTCAATTTGTCATCATCATTGTCATTGTCATCATTGTCATCGATACCATTCACTGAGTGTGCACTGTATGCCAAGCAGCCATCTCTCATTTGATTCTCATAGCAACTGTATGAATAGATATCATTACTCCTATTTTAAGCACAAAGAAAGGAGGTTCAGGGAGATTATTAAACTTGCCCAAGACCAACAAGTAAGTAGTTAAGACAGGTTTTCAGCCTGACTCTCGCTGATTCCAAAGCCTATGTATGTGGTGGGTTGCATGGTGGTCCCCAAAAAGATATGTCCCTTTCCTAAGCCCCAGAACCTGTGAATACGATCTTATTTAGAAAAACGATCTTTAGGCCTGACACAGTGGCTCAGACCTATAATCCCAGCACTTTGGGAGGCCGAAGTGAGCAGACTGCTTGAGCTCAGGAGTTCAAGACCAGCCTGGCCAACATGCTGAGACCCCATCTCTAAATAGCCTGGAGTGGTGGCATACACCTGTGGCCCCAGCTTCTCAAGAGGCTGAGGTGAGAGGATCTCTTGAGCCTGGGAGATGGAGGTTGCAGTGGGCCGAGATTGCACCACTGGACTCTAGCCTGGGCAACAGAGCGAGACCCTGTCTCAAATAAAAAAGAAAAAGAGTCTTTGCAGATGTAATTAAGTCATGGATCTTGAGATGACGTCATCTAGGAATATCCAGATGGGCCCTAAATCTAAAGACAAGTGTCCTTAGACAGAAGAAAAAAAAGACACAGAGAAGAGACGGTTATGTGAAGACAGAGGTAAGATTAGAGGTCTGCAGTCATGAGCCAAAGACCTCCTGAAGCCACCAGATGCTGGAAGAGTCAAGGAAGGATTCTTCCCTGGAGCTCTGTGGGAGTAAGGTGCTCCCAGCACCTTGATTTTGGACTTCTGGCCTCCAGAGTTGTGAGAATAAATTTCTGTTGTTTTAAGCCACTCGGTTTGTGGTTATCTGTCACAGCAGCCACAGGCTACTAACACACCGTGCAATGTATTTAAGTGCGTTTTATTGCTATCAAATGGTCCCTGCACCCCCTGCCCTGCATCTCCACCAGCCTCAGTTCCACCTGCTTGCTGGAGCAAACGGCAGTGGAAAAGTTCATCAGTTCTCTTAGCTCCTTCCAGGCTCGTCTCTACCCATTTGACACCGGCCCTGGTTAGTATGTCCAAGTGGCCTTGAGCCACCTCCCTGAGAAAGTCACTCTCTGCTAGGATGGAGCAAGTCCTGCAGACTGCGGGTCGGGGAGGGCTTGCCGCAGCCTGGGCCACAGGCTCTCTCCTCCTGGAAGCTAGTCTGCCATGGCTTGTGCTGTGCAGGACTCAAGGTCACTTCTGGTTTAAGCCCCCATCTCATTGACAAAGGAACGAGCAGGGGACAGCCATCTGAGGGGAGGGCATGGGGAACAGCATAGGTGGGAGCCCCAGTTCTCCCAAGCTATTCAGGAATCGGATCGAGTCACTCCTTTCCTCAGAAACAGAGCAAGGCTCCTCACAGCCTCCCAAATCGAGCCCAAACTCAGCCTGGAACTCAGCACTCTTTATTATCTGGCCCTGGGCTGTTGCTGGATTCCTAGACACTGGGATTCCTGGATGCTGATCCAGCTCTCAAGAGCCCTGGCTCTGTGGCTATGATGATTGCCCCTGAATATCTGTACCACTACACCCAAACCACTCAGGGGCCCCAGTGTGTGTGCCCCTGTTCTGTGAAACGTGAACAGTGTTGGCTGAGCCAACACACCCTACCCTACACCCCGCCCCTGTTCCCATCCTGCCCTGCACCTCCTCCTGCCTTAGTTCCACTCTGCCTGGGGAGAGGAAGGGACAGACCCTGCGCACTCCCCTCCTGTCCTATGAGCTTCTCAATGCCTGATCACCCCACCGCCTGCCTGATCACCCCTGCCTGATCAGGATGCCTGATCACCCCACCGCCACCCCCACCATAATGGCCTTGCCCAGCAGAGCGCACAGTAATTGCATGATCAATATTTGTTCATATGAGTTGAGTTGAACTGATTTAAAGGAGTTCCTCCCCAGACAGAATGATTCCTCTCCTTAAAGATGTAGGCTTTCGGCTGGGCATGGTGGCTCATGCCTGTAATCCCAGCACTTTGGGAGGCTGAGGCAGATGGATCACAAGGTCAGGAGTTTGAGACCAGCCTGGCAAACATGGTGAAACCCTGTCTCTACTAAAAATACAAAAATTAGCTGGGCATGGTGATGAGCGCCTGTAATCCCAGCTACTCAGGAGGCTGAGGCAGGAGAGTTGCTTGAACCTGGTAGATGGAGGTTGCAGTGAGCAGAGATCATACCACTGCACTCCAGCCTGAGCAACAGAGCAAGGCTCTGTCTCAAAACATAATAAATAAATAAATAAATTAACTAATTAATTAATTTAAAAAAGATGTAGTCTTCTATATTTTGTAGCTTTCCTGGTCCTTACTTATTCTTGCTCTCTGACATCATCTAGTCACAGCTCACCAATTCCTGCTTTGCAGTGAGCAGGCTGGGAGCTGTACATTCCCAGGAGGCACCGTTCACACAGACCGTGACATGACTGGCACCCCCTGAAGTGTGTGATGTAGTGTCCCTATCCCCAGGTGCCTTCAGCCTCTGGATGCTGGCCCACCTCAGGGAAATATAGATGCTGTTTTTCTTTCCTGGTGCTTGTTTTGCAAAGCAACTTGAGACACATGGCCAGGGCTTCCTTCTGGGGCTGCAGCATCTCCCTGCAGAAGCAGCCAGCTCCTCCACAGCAGGGTCATCAGGGAAACACCCCATTCTCTGTTCCCCTCCATCGCAGAACTAGATGGGTTCCTAGAGGCTCCCTAACTAGGTCATCCTCCAGCTGTCCACAGACCTTGCCTTCTGTCTTTGTAAGCGGGACACATGATGCATGGTCCTAATGCGCATGTTTGAGGGTGACAAGGAGCCTTGATGTATTAGTATACCGGGACAACACGTATAAATCATGACTGTCCCTGGGAATCTGAGATTCCAACGCAGGACTGCCTGACACCAAAACCTATGCTATTAGGGTTGACAGAAGGGAAAGGAAGCCAGAGAGAGCAGGGAGAGCTCTCCAGGGAGGGGTCCCAGGGAAAGGACCTGGAGGAACAGTTCCATGTGAGGACACTGCTGCTTTTGCCTTCTATGTCCCCCCACCCAGCCTCCTCCCTTCCAGGCCTAACTTCTGGTGAGCCAGACCCACTGGGGCCAGGAGAGTTGGTGCAAAGATCCTTCAGCGGAAGGTCAGGGGTTCTGGAGTGAGTCTTGGGTCCATGTAAGCAGAGCCAGCCACTTCCCCTACCTGGCCTTTGTCAACCCTTCTGCACACTGGGCATAATCCCCGCCCTCCGTGGGATGATGTGGGTGATGGGCTGTGGGCCCTGTGAGACACGGTAGCTCTTCTCGCTTGGGGTCTGGATGGGGGCTCTCCTTGAATATCTCCTGGAGGGACAAATAAGCTCTCAATCAAATACTTCCTGTTGGGCACCTATTCCTGAGCACATCTCTCTGGGAAGAGGGGGTTAAAAAAGGGGGTCTATGACATTCCTTCCTCAAAGCATTCTGGATGCAATGGAATAATACAGGAGCTGGGATATAGCTAACACCAAGAATGACAGATGTTGAGAAGCTTGAATGGGGAAGAGGAAGCAGGCATGGAGATGGTTGTGGGACCAGTCGCCATGCTGGTCCGCGAGGAGTCTCAGGGGGTTATGGCTGAGGCAATGGCACTGGTGGTCCTAAGGAAGAATTTAGGTGGTCTGGGCTTCCATGCCATGGTTGCCCGGGCCCCAAGCTCTATGTGTACGTGATGTGAAGCCAGGAAATGCAGGCAGTGCAGCTCAGCCTCCTGGGCTGCCGGAGGAGCTCTGAGAAACCTGGGGCCAGGGAACCAAGCAGACTGGCTCTATCTTGGGATTTGGCTGCAGACACTGCAGGAACTGAATGCCTTGCGAGGCTGGGACTGCCTTCTTCAGCCCCGTTTCTGTGTGGGGTCCCACGTAGGCAGCTGTCACAGGCTCCCAGAGGGATATTCAAGTGGACCAAGGCAGGAGAAAGGCTGGGGAAGGCTGAGGTCAGCAACGCCCTCTTCGGTTTTTGATAATTTTAGCCACATAGGGAGGAGGCCAGTTGTTCTTTATCTGAGGCAATTGTCTTCAGTTTAAATGAGTCCCCGGAGAGGCTCACAGCTGGGACAGGAAAGCGGGCAGAGGCGGAAGTGGGGAGGGCTCAGGGCTTGACAACGGCCTGGCTCGGTAGGCTGACTCCTCCGCTAGGAAGCAGCAGCTCCAGATCTGAGTGCAGGGAGGACAACTGCATCCCCAGGAGGCCCGGGAGGTCACTGTCTGATCTGGAAGGGGCAAGAGATGGATCACAGGAACGGAAGTATAGGAAACATGGCCAGAGTTAGCAGCGTGGGTGCAACTGGAATCGATTGTTAGCCCATCCACTTGGGGACTTTCCACAAGACAAAGCAAATGCTCCCCTCCAGCCTATGAGGTCAGGGACCTCAGGACGTGTAGAGCGTTCAGTGTCCCCGCTGCCCTTCTGGCCTCCCTGTGTGACTTGGATGGATCTGAGGTGCCTGCTCCTGGACACCGCTCTCCTGCAGGGTCAGATGTGGAGTGTCCCCTGCAGGCCTGAGGACTCAGCACTAGTGAAGGGCTCTCAGCAGCTTGCTCAACAGGCACTGTCCCCTGGGATGTTGGTTTGTTTAAACGAAGGTGTTCTGGCCTAGTGGGCGGTGGCTGCTATGAGTAATCCTGCTCCACAATTGACATCTCAGTTCAAATTCTTCAGCTCTGTCTGTTTTTCACCCGATCCATGCAACCAAAGGGCTCACATAAGCTGACACCCATCGCCTGCTCTCCTCAGGGGAAGCATGGGAGCCAGGGACAGGAAAGCCTCTGCAGGGCACAGCCAGGCACTGTGTCGCCCAGCAGATCTGGACACAAGGGCTGCGGGGCCAACCAGACACTCCACTGAGCATGCGGGCCAAGGAGGCCTCTGAGAGCTCAGTGAGAGGACACAGCTAGGAAGTGGCAGAACTGGAATCTGGATCCAGATCTGCCTGGCTCCAGAGTCTTTCTCTGGGAGAAATATTATGAAGCACTATTAGAGGGTGACCTTTGCCCCCAAACTCACTGTTCCTTAAGCCCACAGCCCAGACAGTCATGTTATTTGCTAAAAACAAAGCTTAGCAGTTTGATATGGATTCCATTTCATAAGAAGGCAGGAGGACGCTGTTGATAACACATGGTCTTTAGAGCCAGCGCAACTTAGCTCTGTCACTGCTTGCTGTGTGACCTTGGGCCAGTCACTTAACCTGAGGTTTGCTTTCATTTGTTAAAAAGTAATAATAGTTACCTTCTATAGTTATCTTGAAAACCACAAGAGACATGTTTATAAAATAATTAGAACAGTCTCTGGCACATGGTAAGTTTTCCAAAATATGCGGCTCTTATTCTAATAATATATTTTTCCTCTCTGTTATTGGGGATAAGTATAGCTTGATTGATATATACATGTGTATGTGTGTATGTATATATATAGCTCCACACATTTAAACCATAACAGCATCTTGTGGTGACTCAACCCGTCTGTCTGCTAAAAGAGAACAAGCCCCTGGCCCATTTCATGTGGTTGCTTTGAAGGATGATCATAAATGTGTTCATAAAGACCTCTGCCAGATGTCAAATCCTCATTCATGAAGCGTAGGATTCCTTCAAGACTGCACATCCAGCTGGGGACAGAGAAAATAAGAGATCACAAAGGGGTGTTTTGAAAATTTGCAGAAAAAAAAAAGAACCAACAAATAGGGGACTCTAACTACATCCCTTTAACCTGACTTTTGGTCCTTATTAAAGTCCATACTTTGAAGGTTTGAATTCACTGGACTGGGGGCTCATCTGATCCTCCCCAGGAACTCTGAGACATTGAGGCAGAAGTTTCTAGCCCACAGCATCCCTGGGGAAAATGGTGAAGGTGCTTTGGAATCAACACTCAGACCCCTGGGGTTTACAGCCGGGAGCCTGCCCCCAGGCCTGGCCAGGTGGTGGCTTAGCGGATGGGTGGGGAGCCACCCTCGGTAAGCAGAGTGCCAGGATGTGTGGCTTTCCCCAGGACTGAAGCTAAAGGCCTGCGAGGGTGGCTCTGCACACCCTGCCCCCTGCCTCTCCTTGGCTCAACTCCAGAGGCTTCTGGAATCAGCTCTTGTGGCCTGGGAAACAGAGCCTGGGCTATTTTGTCTTCTGATTTTTTTTTTTCACTTCATATTATTTTGTATCCTCATTTCCCTGTGTCACTGATAAAATTATAATAGTTAACATGCTCAGTGCTTATCATGTCGTGGGCAGGGGTCCAAGCACTTCACAAGAATTAACTCATTGAAGCCTAACAATGGCTCTACAGGCACCTAATCATCCCATTTTCTAGCTAAGGAAAGTGAGATATGGGGAAGATCATGCAGCTTCTGCAAGGCCGCTCAGCTAGATGGTGGCAGGACTGGGGTCCTAGCCCACGCTGAGGCTCCAGGGCCTGGGCCTGTACATGAAGTGGCCATGCAAGACGCTTACCACATGTCAGACATAGTTCAGAGGAGTGAATGGATTTAATCTGCCAAACGACCATGAGCATAGGAACCATTATTATCATCTGCTTGTCTCCATGGGGAAACTGAGGCAGTAGGGGGTTTAATATTTGCCCTTAGTTCCACTGCCAAGTGTTAGCCAGAACCTGCATGTTTAACCATCACGCTGTGCTTCCTGGTGGGGGGCTGCCTTTTCCCTGTTGCACCCTGTCTCTGGTTACCTAGGATTCTATTGCATCAATGTCATGATTGGCTCAACCGCCTTCTGCTGTGGGGCCTCTGAGCTGCCCTCGCTGCCCACGGGAGATCTTCACATCCTGCCCTCAATAGGCTTTCTAGAATGGGTCCTAGAGAGTTTTCTGGGTGGCTGTAAGCTCTTCCCTCTCCCTTCTTCCAGGTCCTGGGCACAGAAGGTAACATAAGGGGCCACCAGATATTATGGCCGAGAGGTGTCACAACACAGCCAAATGCCAACCTATTATTGAAGAGCAGTTTATCCCTGTCCAGCCTCTCAAGTGCCCTGGAGAGAAAGAGAACTTCAGGAAGGCCAAGACACACAACACCCCTCCCCCCAACCACATACACCCCTCTTCAGCTATACTGGGATGGTCAAGGCAATGGTCTGAGAATTGTCTTGTTTCCTGCCACCATCCTGTGAACCAAGAGCAGTAAACTTCTGAAGTCTCCATGCCAACCCCTGCAGCCTTCCAAATGGGCACCCAACTGGGTCTAGGACTCAGATTGCGACCCTGGTCTTGCCTAGGGACACCATGGGCTGTGCAGGTGGAGCTGAGACTCTTCGAAGATCACATTGCTATCTTAATCCTTTTGGCCTGAAGCCTCTGAAGGACTCTGTCACCCTGGGCAATCTTTTGAGGTCAAGGTGAGATGGGGGTATCTTGGGTTCTGCTCTGATTCTGCTAGCACGTCTTTGGCTCCTATCTCCCCCACTGCAAAATAAGGAGACTGTTAAAATACACCTAGATTTGACAGTATACTCCACTATTTCCCAAAGTGTATTCCATGGAACAATGAATTGCTTGAACCAGGGGTTCAACTAAGTCAACTAAGTTTGAGAAACATTGCATAGCCTGGTCCACTCATAGAGATCCACAATGCATACACTCTGAGTTGTTCCACTCTAAAGGTACCTAGTTAGCCTGACTTAACCCAGTATCTCCCATGTTTACTTAACCATGGAACACCTCTTTAAAAAGTAACATCTAATAAGCCTTAGGCAGGAAGTATGTGCAGAAATGCTGGCCTCTTCTGTCCCATGTCCTCTTCACTGAAGCCAGGCCCAGAACCAAGCCACCATGTCCCCCCACGGGGCACCTCTGCTTCCTGCCAGCGCCCTACCTCTCATACTGTGTGGTTCATTCAAACTGACGGCAATTTCTTCAGTAAATCCCATTCCCTTTGGTATCTCTGCCAGGCCGTGTGCTGTTCCTCTGTGGGCAGAGAGGTGAAGGAGACAGCCTTACCCTCTAGTAATGCAAGGCCTGAGGCATCCACAGACTGGCATAAGAGCCAGAAGGGAGAGCAAGGAGGGAGACTTAGACATTTCCATCCAGACATCAGGGAAGGCTTCCTGGAGGAGGTGGCCTGGGATTTGGGCCTTGATGACCTGGTAGAATTGGCTGGGAGCAATGGCTAGACATGGGGTGTCTTGGTCTGGCAGTTTCAGAGTGGTGTGGGGGAAGGGTGGAGAGGGTCCCGTGTCTTCTCTGTGATCTTGAGCACCCTGACTCCAAGCCTGAACCTACAAACTCCACTTAGCAAAGCAAAAGCCTTCCAATTAAATGGGCTCAGTCTCCTTAGAAGGGAACAGCCATCTTTTGCATCTTGATCCACCCCAAGTAGTTTACTGAAGTATTCCTTGCAAAATATGCAGTTTCGTCCTTAAGAAGAGGCCTGTTGAATATACTTTTTTTCTCTCTCTCTTTACATTCTGGTGATATTTTAGTGCTTCTTAGGAAATGGAGCCCACCCTACTCCTGAATTTAGCTGTAACATGAGAAAAAGAAATTGATGTCTCAGGTGTATGGACTTTTGTTCATACATTCTTTTTTTTTTTTTAACTTTTCACTTCTTTTATTTGCTAAAATAGTCGCATCCATATACGTGAAAAGATTTGACCATAATGCATTCATTCATTGTGGCTCTTGCCATCTCGTGGCATCCAGGATCCTGGCTGAAAGGTTTTACCAGTGCTGCTGGGAGCCACTGAGGGTTTTTCCTTTCCGAAGTATGGAGCAGAGGCACGGCCTTTAATTTGAGTTTGAACTGGTGGAGGCAGGAGTTCCTCACTGGTCTCTTTACTAAGGAGTTTTTCTTTTTCATAAAAATCTTGGCTTTTTATTTTGATTTCTTCTCTGTGTTTTTCATTCTTTAGTATTTCCTCCATAGTAGGTGGAGTCTTTCTTGTTCTTCTAATCCAAGCTTCCCATTCTGTTGGAATATCCCCTGTTTCATAGTCTACTTCTTTTTTATTTGCTGCTTCTACAATTCTTTTCTCTTGAATAGTTTGTCCTCTCCAGTTCTTGTTCTGCAGGATGTAGTAGTATTTGTTCCCGAATTGGTCCGTGCCCACGTGCTCCTTCACTTCCCTTGACAGCGATCTCCACAAGGCGCGGAACAAATCCTGAGACCAACCCATGCCGTCCACTCAGTTTCCAGCGCTGCCAGCAGTGGGACCCGCAGTAGGGGTAATGCTCCAGCCGCCGACCCAGCCCACCGAGGCGAGAAGTCAGGCCGGCCTCCAACCTCCATACATTCTTTTATTTTTTCAATCAACACTCTGTCACCCAGGCTGGAGTGCAGTAGCACGATCTTGGTTCACTGCAGCCTCTGCCTTCCAGGCCCAAGCAATCCTCCTGCCTCAGCCTTCCAAGTAACTGGGACCATAGGTGCATGCCAGCACGTCTGGCTAATTTTTGTATTTTTGTAAAAACGGGGTTTCCCCATGTTGCCCAGGCTGGTCTCAAACTCCTGAGCTCAAGTGATCTGCCCATCTTGGCCTCCCAAAGTGCTGGGTTTACAGGCGTGAGCCACCACACCCGGCCTCAATCAACATTTACTGAGCACCTACTTTGTTCCTGGTGCTGTGCTAGGGACCTACAGTGGCATCAAATATGTCCTTTTCCTTAGAGAAGCCCAAACTTGTGGGCCTCAGTAAGTCATGGCTCTTGCAGTAGTACATCAGTGAAGCTTCCAGGTGTCATGAATGGACTACTTGTGAGAAGCTGCTGTATCACTGTGTGAAACAGTACATTTATGAGGTCCTGTGGCTGCAAAGTGACAGAGTACACTCGGAGCTCCTGGGAGAGGTCTCTAGAGCAGTCCAGGCGCAGGGACAGCTCTTGGGAAGGAGATGGGTTAGGAGATAGGGGGTGAAAGGGCAGCCTAGCAGGGGAGCAGACTGCACAAAGACAATGGCATTTGCAACTGAGCTGGGATTGAGGCTGGAAGCTGCACAGGGCCCGGCTCATGAAGTGCCTCTCCAGCCAGACCTTTCCATCTGAACATGATCTTTTTCCTTTGCTGGAAACACAGTCTCACTCTGTCGCCCAGGCTGGAGTTCAGCGGTGTGATGTCGGCTCACTGCAACCTCCACCTCCTGGGTTCAAACGATTCTCATGCCTCTGCCTCCCGAGTAGCTGGGAACTACAGGCATGTGTCACCACACCTGGCTAATTTTTGTATTTTTAGTAGAGACGGGGTTTCACTGTGTTGGCCAGGCTGGTCTTGATCTCCTGACCTCAAGTAATCTGCCTGTCTCAGCCTCCCAAAGTGCTGGGATTATAGGTGTGAGCCACCACGCCCAGTCCTGAATGGGATCCTGAGGGCGTTTCACAGAGAGAGGGCTTGATGAAGTGTATGTTTTTAGGACGCTCCCTCTGGTTGTGGGCAGAGCGTAGGCGCCAGCAAGGCAGTTATTGCCAGGATGACCAGACTTTCTTGCCTGGAGCTGTCTGGAGATTGTTAGGACCCTGGGTTCTGGGGAGACCTTTGGGATGGGCCAGGGGCCTCCCCACTCCCTGCAGGCACTGTGCTCTACCCAGCAAGAACCTGCCAGGCAACGAGGACAGGGAGGACACAATTCCTGGGACATGGCGCCAACAATAGGTGCGGGCGCTGTCAGGGCATCTGCAGGAGGCTCCGGGACACTCCCTTCACGGTATCTGGGCAATTAATTATTTCTTATCTTGCTGGGTAAGGGGCTCACGTGGAAATCACTCCCATCCTTCTGTTCAAATGTTATGTTGCTATTTATTCTGAACAGGAAAGGAGCACAAAATAGCACTGCTTTTAGAATGGATGCCAAGTGGAGGGTTTTTTTGCTATCATTTCTGAGTTGTGAGAACAGGGAGGGTGGGGTGGTGTGGCCCTTTCTCTGGGGCTGTTGAGGTGGGGCAGGCACCCCCAGGGGTGTGCTCTGCGGAGGTACAACCTGATGAGTGGCTTCCTGCACCAACCTGGGGGATCTGGGAACCCAAAAGAGCCAGAGCCCCAGAACCTGCCTGCCCTTGGCATCGACCCTGGACAGTTCTTTCTTTGCAGGGAACAAGGCCTCCCTCTCCCGTCTCCAGAACAGGAGGGGAACCCTGGGAAGGCAGCATCGCTAACCCTTGTGGAGAGAGGTGAGAGCGAGCCTTTGGGGAGAGAATCTGAAGTAGGTCAGGCCTTCAGAGTCTTGGAGGGGCTGGAACAGGAGAAGGGCAGAGGGGCACAGGCACGCTTGGCTGGTTGCCTGGTGTCCAGCAGAGAATCCTGGGCCGGGAGCAGAGGACCCAGGCTTTGGCCCAAGCTCTGCCTGCTTGTGTGAGGCTGAGCTAACTAATCTGTCTTCCTGGCTTCACTTTCTTCATCTGTAAAATGGATCTTCCTCCTTCAACAAACATCCCAGGAAAAAGTATAATACGGTTCCTCTAACTTCCACACATAATAAAACATTCTCAAAGAGCAACCGTGCTGGGCATCTAGGGGAGATACCAGGAGGGTGGCATACGTGTTGGGAGGTCCCTGTGTCGCAGGCTTGCTGCAATTCACATCTTCCCAGAAACTGCAAGGAAACAGCCACCTTCTGGCCTTGACAGTTTCAGAATTTCAGAGGAGGGTCCCTGGATCCTTGGCAGCTGGGAGGAATTGACAGGCCCTGCGGTATGGGAGGTGGAGGCACGCCCAGGACGTCTGGCAGGAGGGTGGAAATCTGTCTGCCACACTGCTGAGGGTTCCCACCACCTCTATCTCTCTGAGCTTCAATTCCTTGATTTTTTAAGGTAAGGATAATAATGCTGGCCTCATGTGCCAGGGCAGGGGAGAAAAACTGAGAAGACAGAGGGGCCACGTTTACGCTGTTCATTGTTCTGTCCCTGGCGCCCAGTAGGCCTCCGTAAATGTTTGCTGAATGAATGCAAGTGAAGTGCATAGTTCAGGGACTGCTGTAGAATCAACGGCTGCTGCCATCAGTCCCCACACCCCTGCCCCCAGCTCCACGTCCACTGCCCTCTGTGGCAGCTACTGGCTCCGACATTTTGCACTCTCAGGGGGTCCTCACCTCACCCCAGCCCTGTATCCCGTCCAATTCAGCTTCACGGGTGGTGGGGAGCTGTCCATGCCTCTCACCATGCCTTGCTCTCTGCGGCTGCCAGAAGCCTCCATTGTTTGCCCCACCAGATGCCAAGGCGTGCTGTGAAAGCCGTCTCCCAAAAGGAAGCAGGGGTCTCTGGACTTCAGCCAGGGTCACCCACCGCTGCCTTGCCCTGCCCTGCCTGGTATTGTCTTCCTGCCCTAGGGTGGGGCCACATCAACGCCACTGGCTCTCTGCAGCACCAGCCCGACCCAGCCTTGTCCACTCCTCCCTGTCCTGCTGGGATGTGGGCTGCAACTGCCCCTTCTGGCTTGGGACAGGAGTTTCCCTCATGCATCTGTTTCTCCCACCCTCCCTCCACACCACGCCTTCTCCCCTAAAGCGAAATTGCTTACTTAGGAATGTGTAGGTCCCATCCCTGGCCTCTGGCTGGCCACTCTGCTCTGATTCCTACTATCTGCCCCCAGTTGGCTGCTTGAGGAGTGGTTCTTTTTTTTTCTTTTTTTTTTTTTTGAGAAAGAGTCTCTTTCTGTCGCCCAGGCTGGAGTGCAGTGGCGCCATCTCGGCTCACTGCAACCTCCGCCTCCTGAGTTCAAGCAATTCTCCTGCCTTAGCCTCTCGAGTAGCAGGGACTACAGGCACAAGCCGCCGTGCCCGGCCAATTTTTTTTGTATTTTAGTAGAGACTGGGTTTCACCGTGTTGCCCAAGCTGTTCGCGAATTCCTGAACTCAGGCAGTCTGCCTGCGTCAGCCTCCCAAAGTGCTAGGATTACAGGTGTGAGCCACCGCGCCCAGCCGAGGAGTGGTTCTTAACCCTTGCTACTAGCAGCCCTCTGGGGCTGAGAGAGCTCCCTCCTGGGAGCCTGTGGGCCTCCCCACTTGAGCAGGGCCCCAAAGACTCACCCAGGGACTTCTCCTCCTGCTACCATTTCTACCAATTGTTTGCAGCCTGCTCTTGTGTCCAGGGTGCTAGAGGGCACCTTTCTTGCCCACAACTGCCTAGCCCAACCTCCCACTGCATACATCCACTCTCCCACGCCCCTAGGAAGCCATTACTCACCTTCAGGACACAGCCCATGTGTTCATGTGTAGCATTTGTTCAACAAGAGCTTGTCAAATGGCTCCTACGGATAAGGTAAGGCGAGGTTGGACGGTGGGTCATTGGAAGCAGGTCGGCCCCAGTCCAGGGCTCTTACCCTTGGCTGTAGTGCCTGGATAGGTTGGGAGTCCACCTGGGAGCTTGAGTGCCCTTGCCAATGGTGAGGCCTGTCCTGGCCGTGGCTCCACCTGAGCCCCTGGGGTGCCAGAGCAACAACATGAGGCCCGAGGGGCCGACAAACACAGCTGGAGGAGGTTGGGAATACAGTATTAATGAGCACCTGATGTGTAACAGGGGGTAAAACCAGCCGTCTCTGCCCTCGTGTTGCTCACTACTGGGTGAGGAGAGGGAGGCAGCTGGAGCTGTGCCAGTTACTGATTCTGACGCTTTGCACACTCAGGGGGATCCATGCCTTGCCCCAGCCCTGAGGCCCTTCCCTTTGGAGCTTCAAAGTGAGCCCCAGGGGGATGGAGGAGGGAGCTCTGACTCCAGGGTGGGGACCAGGAAGCCCTCACAGAGGAGCTGGACTTGAACATTGCATTGGCTTTTGATAGTCAAAGATGAGGAAGGGCATTCAGGTGGAGGGAACAGCATTTGTGAAGGCTGGAGGTCAGGAGAGATGGCTACGTGGAGGTGTGAATAATCTGGGCTTTCCCGGTGGGGATTGGTAGGTGCAGAGGCTGGGAAATAGGGTGAGCAACCATCCTGGTTTCCTGGGACTGAGGGGCTGCCCAGGACACAGGACTTTCCGTGTGAAAACCAGGGAAGTCCTGAGTAAACTGAGATGAGTTGGTCACTGTACTGGGAAAGCTAAACTGGATTCGGAGACAAACAGGCTCTGCATATACTGGTAAAAGGTTTGGTGCCATGAAGAGTTATAGAAGGATATTTTGTAAGGGAAAGGGGAGGAAGCAGCAAGTACGTTCCATCGGGGTGCACGAGTGTCTGGACAGGTGGCTGGAGACCGATGACAGGAGTCTGGCAACGGGCGCCCGGGTCCTGAGTGCCCGGATCTGTGGCAGGGCTGAGTCTGCTGATTGTGGCCAGAAGGCTGTGGCCCTGGGGGCAGGAAGCCAGGCACATTGCTGTCCCATGCCTGTTACAAGGTGGCAGAGGCCCGCATGGTGCGGGCTCTGGTCTCACACCCCTGGCTTTGAGGCCATCCTGTGTCCAGTGTGCCCTTGGAGACAGCCTGTTGAGGATGGCATCCCCAATTTGGGACTGCAGTTATGCAGAGTGATACTCTCGTCTGCATGACTACCACGATGGTGATAACAGCTGGGGCCGGTGGGCAGTGGGCACCTCTATCTAGGGTGCTCTGCCTGGGTAGACTCCTCTGAGAACCCCACATTGACCCCACAAAGAGAAATGCTAGTGCTGGGTGTTCGGACTTCAGCCAGGGAGCTGTCAGTAGCTATGTCTAAGGTGTCTCAGCCTTTGTTAAAAAGCCAGTACAGGACCACCCTGGGCAACACAGGGACACCAAGTCTCTACAAAAAAAAAATTAAAAATTAGCTGAGTGTGGTGGTGCGTAAGCTACTCAGGAGGCTGAGGCCCAAGGATCACTTGAGCCCGGGTGGGGGGTTGGTCAAGGCTACAGTGAGCCGTGATTGCACCACTGCATTCCAGCCCTGACAGAGCAAGCGCCTATCTCAGAAAACAAACAAACAAACACAAACAAACAAAAGCCAACACAGGAGAAGGGGGCAGGATGGGGACTTTCTACTTCTCTCTACCCTTAGTGAGTATGCATTTTGCTAAGGATCAAGGATTCGTGCCCACCATGGACACCATAAGGAAGGGAGCGACTCCTGCAGGCTTCTTTGTGTAGCTTTAGGGTCTGGAAGGACCAATTCTGGCCAGAAACAACAAGACCTCTTTCTTGGGCATGAGGCTGTGGTAGGGGCTCCTCTAAGCCTCTTAAGAGGTACCTGGGGCCAGGTGCGGTGGCTCACGCCTATAATCCCAGCACTTTGGGAGGCCGAGGTGGGTGGCTCACCTGAGGTCAGGAGTTCGAGACCAGCCTGGCCAACATGGCAAAACCCCGTCTCTACTAAAAATACAAACAACTGGCTGGGCATGTTGGCAGGCACCTGTAATCCCAGCTACTCGGGAGGCTGAGGCAGGAGAATTGCTTGAACCTGGGAAGTGGAGGTTGCAGTGAGCCAAGATCATTGCAGCCTGGGCAACAGAGCAAGACTCTGTCGCAAAAGAAAAAAAAAAAAGGTACCTGGGAGGAGGGGAGTGGAGAGTTACTGGTTAAGGGGCAGAGTTTCTGTTTTGGAAATAGTGATGATGGTTTCACAACATTGTGAATGCAATTACTGCCACTTAATTATACACTTAAAGATGGTTAAAATAGCAATATGTTACGTATCTATTTTACCATAATTTAAAAAAAATTGTCAAGGTCATAAGAAGCAAGGAAACCCTGAGAAGTGGTCCCAGGTGAAAGGAGACCAAAGGACGTGACAACTAAATGCAACGTGGCAACCGGGATTGGGCCTAGGCAAGAAAAATGACACTGTAATGTCCCTTAAGGAAAAACTCTAAAATCCAAATAAAGTCTGTAGTTCAATTAATAGTATTGTTCCAATGTTAATTTCTTTGCTTTGACAAGTGTACCACGGTTATGTAAGACGTTAACACTAGCGGAAGCTGGGTGAGGGTACATGGGAACGAACTCTCTGTACTATCGTTGCAACTTGTCTGTAATGATTCCAAAATAAAAAGTTGAAAAACCCAAAGACAAACAAGGGCCAGGCCTGCCAAGAAGAGCTGGGACACGGGTTTGGCACCTGGGCCTTGGGCTCTGCCTGGAAAAAGCCAAGGAGTCCTGGAGCTGGCTCTCAGCTGGCAGGAGGACCTGCTGCCAACTCTGCAGAGATGGGCCAGTTCTGGAAAGATGAGACAGGTGGGCGTGGGAGCTCCAGGGTGGGCCGCAGGCAGTGCCTGAGCCCTGGCCATGGCTGCTCTGTGAGCTCTCTGCTGGTGTTTCAGTACTTTCCTAGGTTCAGCAGGATCTCAACTCTCCAAAGGGAGGGCTCTGCATCCCCTCTGGGTTGGCTTAGAAACCTGTGTCTGTCACTGAGGGCTCAGGCGGGCCCTGCAGGCAGATAAGGCCATGGGTCTGGCTGCAGCCCTCGCCTAGCCACACATGGACAACAGAGGGTTAACGGCCCTCTCCAGGTGCTGCTCCGTCCATCCAGACCCTGCACCCCAGGCTGTAATCACTGGAGGAGTTCTTCCTGCCCACTGCATGAAGAAAGGTCGTGGAATTGCAGTAAAGAAAGAATTGAACAGACCCAAGGCCCGCCGTGCCATGTGGGAGACAGAGTTAGTACTGAAATTATCTTCAAAGCTTGTAGGTTAGGGGTTTTTCAAAGGCAGTTTGGGGGAAGAGTTGGGGGTGGCCAGGTAACAGGTGCTTGCTGTTGGCAGAGATGAAATCTTAGGGGGTCGAAGCTGTCCTCCTGGGTGCTGAGTCACTTCTGGGTGGGGCCACAGGGGCAAGGTTGGCGGGTCCAGGTGGAGCCATGGGTGTCAGACATGCAAAAGGCCTGAAAAGGTATCTCGGAAGGCCGACCTTAGGTTCACAACATTGGCATTATTTGCAGGAGTAATTAGGGAAGTTGCCTGTCTTCTGACCTCTGGCATCGTGGCTGACAGTCTTTTATGTCTGCGCCTTAGCAGGAGTCAGGGCCCTCTACTCCCCCAGGCCTGATGGCCTCTCATTAGCTTTACAAAAGCAGCTGCGTTTTGGGACAAGGCCTGTTACCATTTAAACTACAGCCTAAATGTCTTCAAAGTTAGCTCGGCCCAATACCCAGGAATAAGGAAGGGAAAGGAAAGATTGGGGGTAGGTTAGCTGAGATCTCTTTCACTGTCATAATTTTCTCACTGATACCATTTTTGCAAAGGTGGTTTCAAGGCCTCCTCCAGAAGGCATTTCTGCTCACTCCACTCCCTGATCAGAGATGGCTCCCTAGTGCTGAAAATCAATTCAAACGTCGCCTGACACCTGTGTCTTTTCCGTCTTTTCCGGCCGCCTCCAGCCTTCTTTCTCTGCCTGGCTTCTCCCCGTGGGGTGGGCCCTCCATGCCTACCAGCTGACCAGATACACCAGCCCCAAAGGGCCAGCTTCACTCAGGACCTTTGCTCCTGTGGTGTTTTGTTTTGTTAATCTCCACAATATTCAAATTCTGTTTCTCAAGGTCCAGGTGAAACTCCAGGGTCCGTGGATCTTTCCTGGCATTTGCGACTGGCCTATCTGGGGTCATTGCTTTGTCTTCACGCTCGTCTCCCACAAGTCTGTTAGGTCCCCTTTCTCTCACTCCCTGGAGCTCAGCTCAAGCCCTGGCACAAGGGAGATCTTGTTAAGGAGTGACGTGTTTGGTGTGTTAGCAGGCATCTATCTGAAAATGCTCTCGACCCTGGGCTCAGCCAAGCCCTGAAGGCAACAAGATACCATCCCTCCTGCCCAAGTGTTTGGCTGAGTCCACGCTTGGCTGAGGACAGAGCCCTGAAATATCTCCCAGGCCCCTCATGGGAGCAGAAGGGAGCCACTGTACCAGCTGGTGGCACCAGCCCATGCACCTGCTCACCCTTGAGCAGGAGCACGTCTTTGACCCCAGGAAGAACAGGAGGCAGGAGAGACTGTCCCCAGGGTGGGAGCTTTCCTGATGGTGGCTGCAGGGACCCCCTGGGCACAGAAGCCAACAGTGATGGTGGCCTGATCAGCTTGTGTTGCTCGGCCTCTGCCCCTGAGCTGGGCCCGCTGGGGGAGTCAGGGGAAATGTGGCAGCTCCCTGTGGGCTGGGGATTAGGGGAAAACAAACAGGTGGAATAACAGACAGCAAGGACCTTTGGTTCTCCCTCCTCCTGGGGCCCCTCCCCTTCCCGGTCATCTGGGTTTCCATTTTCACAAAGGTCTCACCCACAGTTTCTCTGCCCACACCATGAGCCTGGGCACAGGCAGGTCAGTGTCCTGAGATGCACCTTCCCAGCACAAAGGGGTCATGCAGCCCTCACTGGCCACGGAGTTCTGAGGGCAGGCAGAGGTTCTTAGAGTGGACTCCTGTCCCCAGTCACTTACTGGAGAAAAAAAGGTTAAGACAGGGAGGGGAAAAAAACTGTAAACGAGTATTTAGTGAGTACTTACTACATGCGAGGCACAGTGCCAGACACTTCTCACGTGGGTTTCCTTGACTCTCACCGCAAACTGCAAAGTTAGTGTGGTTCTCCCCATTTTGCAGATCAGGAGATTAAGGCTGAGTGTGGCTAAGGCAATGACTGCCTAGATATATCAGAACCAGGGATTAGACTCCTATGTCTGCTGACTCCAGATTTGATCTTCTTTCCTCTGCACTAGGGCAGGAGGGGAGGTGGGGAGCATCTACCTCCCCAGGCCAGGGGCAGTGTCCAGGCTGAGGGACATTCTGTGCTTCCAGGAGCTCCAAGTGACAGGACAGAGGGCACACTTGGTGATGTCATTCTCTGGAAGGGCACAGAATATGTTTGTGAGATCAAAGATCTTACAGATGGAGGGGCAGGGCTGGGTGGAGGAGGAGAAGCCCCGGTGAGTCACGCTGGGAAGACAGCAGCCCTGGGTACTGGCTGAGCCTCCTTGGAGCCCCCCACCCCTTCTCCCACACTCCATCATAAGGTTCCTCACTCATGGCTTTGTCCCTGGAGAAACCACACCCATCCCAGTAGAGGCCTGGATGTGGACTCTCCCCTCTGTCCCTCTCCATACCTGGCACCCTTTAGGGCTTGCCTTGGTCTCCCCACACCTCCACTCCCTTGGAAGACACTCCTGTGGGTGGCTGGGGCTCGCTCCCGCCTCAGGAAACCGCCTCACCGTGAGTCAGCAGCACACCATGGTCTCCAGGGCGGGTCTCCCTGGTGGTCTTCTCATTCTCTGGTCCCCACGGCAGGAGGCATGGGTAAGCTTGGGGCTCAGCACATGACAGAGAGCAGGCTGGGGCCGGGGTTCTTTGAGAATCCTGGGCATAGATGAATGAGCCTCATGTGGGAGGTCCCGGCTGGA